>NC_000012.12:99278309-99581340 GCF_000001405.40 Homo sapiens
TCGGAAGCCATGTGTTGAATCCTGCAAGGTCTCTGTATGAACCCCTGTGTCCAGGTCCCATCATTTGGACTTTACATAAGCAAGGAAAATATTTGCTATTATGATAAACCACTACAATTTTGGGGATGTGTCTGTTCCCACAGCTGATATTTATCTTAACTAATATGGACAGAGACATAGGAAAAAAGAAGTTCCCCAAATATATTTTGTTTCCATATGCTTTTGTGTACCCTCTTCTGCACTTCCTCCCCCTCTTTGATTCTTACACATCCTTCAAGACCAAGGTCAGGCATCACCT
The DNA here is from genome assembly GCF_000001405.40 of Homo sapiens. Classification (NCBI taxonomy): domain Eukaryota; kingdom Metazoa; phylum Chordata; class Mammalia; order Primates; family Hominidae; genus Homo; species Homo sapiens. Next base: position 99,278,608 of record NC_000012.12, read on the forward strand.
CCTCCAAGAAGACTTTGAAACCTCCCCAAGCTGAGTTAAATATGGATACTGCATGAAGGATTGTAATCTTCTGTGTATGTGATCATGTCCCAATATCTAACAACCTAACTGGTACATATTTGTAAAATTAATATGTAAATTAATAAAATAAATGGAGAAAGGTAAATACTTCAAGCAAAAAATAAAAAGTACAAGTCATCCTGAAAATATGAAAGGAAAAGTCTCTACTGGCTGTGGACAATGTAATTGCATTAAATATTTAAAAATATCTAGGTATGACTAGCCTTTCTGCTGCTTCATATGATCTTGTATTAACCTAAATTATTGCACCCAAAATGTAGCATATGGCACTTGGTACAAATCTGACTCTTTCACTAGATTGCGAATCCCCTGAAGACAAAGACTGTGGTTTTCTTTGTGTTTCCATTTTCAGGTCCCAGAATGGTGCCTGAAATGGTGTAGGCCCTCACCACATGCCCATTCACTGACTCGTTGACTCACTGACTGGCTCCAGGCTGGCCTTGAATTCCTGGGCTCAGACTATCCTCCTGCCTTTGTCCTTTTGTTCTGAGTCTTCCTCAGCATTTTCTGCCAACCCTTCTTTTCAGGCTGACATGGGTTAGGAGGTAATCTGAAAGCTTTCACCAATAAGAAAAATTAATTGAATTACATCAGCTCTATTATAAGGAAAAGGGCTATTGAGATATAATCTACATACTGTAAAATTCATCTGTTTAAAGTATACAATTCAATGATTTTTAGTGTACTTAGAGAATTGTACAGCCACTCCCATAATCTAATTGTAGAAGATTTCCATCATCCAAAAAAGAAACCTTGCAGCAGTCACTCCTCATTCACACTCTTCCCACCCCCAGCCCTAGGCAACCACTAATCCAGTTTCTCTCTCTATAGATTTGCCTATTCTAGACACTTCATATAAATGGAAGCATGCAATCTGTGGGGTGGGGTGGGGGGAGGTTGTAGAAGCTTTATCTTTTGACAAATGCTGATTAGCCTTGTAAAGTGCAGTTGAATATTATCAAACATGTTCTCAAAATGAACAAATATAGGAATAAGATGGGGGTTTCTATAACTGTCTAAATTACTGAGAAATAATAATTAGGGGTTGGGCATGGTGGCTCATGCCTGTAATCCTAGCACTTTGGGAGGCCAAGGTGGGTGGATCACTTGAACCCAGGAGTTCAGGACCAGCCTAGGCAACATGGTGAAACCCCATCTCTAAAAAAATTAGCTGGGCATGTGGTGCATGCCTATAGTCCCAGCTACCTGGGAAGATGAGGTCGGAGGATCACCTGAGCCTGGGAGGTTGAGGGTTCAGTGAGTTGTGATCGCACAACTGCACTCCAGCCTAGGTGACATGAGTGAGACCCTGTCTCAAAAAAATAAAAATAAAATAAATAATAATTAAAGGAACCAGCAGCTCAAAATATATTATAAACAATTCTCATAATTGATATTTTATCCAAATATCAAAAATTCATACATTTTTCAGATGAAGGGTCTCCAGAGAAACAGAACCAATAGAGTCTGTGTGTGTGTGTGTATGTGTGTGTGTGTACGTGCATGTGTGTGTGTGAGAGAGAGAGAGAAAGAGAAAGAGAGATTGTTATAAAATTTTATAACAAACACTAACATCGAGGAATGCTAGTGAGTAGACATGCAGCTATATGGTTTGGCAGGGCCTGCCAGTGCTCACCATAAATGTCTTCTCCTTGTCTTGCTGGATACATAATCTGACTCTCTTCCTCAACTGTCCTTTATAGGTAGGTGACCATATTAGTTAGTTCTGGACAATGGAATATAAGCACAATTTATGTAAGCACAAGTTATGTGTTTTACTTCTGGGCTGCCATGGTACATTTTATGTTAACCTGATGGGGCCACAGAGTGCTCTGGTTTTTGGCCAAACATTATTCTAGGTGGATCTGTGAGGGTGTTTCTGGATGGGACTAACATTTGAACTGGTAGACTGAGTACAGTAGATTGCCCTCTCTAATATGGGTAGGGCAATCAGTTGAAGACTAACTAGAACAAAAAGGCCGAGTGAAAAGGAATTCCCATTACCTGACTGCCTTTGGGCTAAGATGTTGTTTTCTTTTCTGCTTTCAGACTTGGATGGCAACATCAGCTCTCCTGGGTCTCCAGCTTGCTGACTGCAGATCTTAGGATATGTCAGCCTCCGTAATAGCATGAGCCAATTCCTTATAATAAATCTCTCTCTCTCTCTCTCTCTCTCTGTCTGTCTCTCTCTCTCTCTCACACACACACACATGCACGTACACACACACACGTGCGCACATACACACACACACACACACTCTCTCTCTCTCTCGCTATTGGTTCTGTTTCTCTGGAGACCCTTGACTAACACATGAGCCTAAACCATAACCCCTTCCACAGAGAATCCTTGCTCTCTTCTCTCATCTACTTACTGAATGGATGGAGAGGATGCTATGAACCTAGGGAAAGGTGGGGCCACAAAATGGTAGGCATCTGGGGTCCCTGAATAAAGCATAAGAAGAGAGCTGCCTAGTCTACCTTCATTGTACTGCAACATGAATGAGAAATAAACACTTATTGTGCTGATCCACTCAGAGTATGCGGTTTATGTATTATGGCAGCTAGTGGTATTTACTGTAGCATTTATTACATGCTAGATTTTTATGAAATTGAAGGGTAATTCACTCAAGTCAAAATGTAACTAAAAATTAACTGTTTCAGTGGAATGAATACCTCTTTGCTTGTGAATTTTCAAAATTAAAAGAGAAAAGTCTGAGTCATGAACTGATAGTAGAGGGGTGCTTTACCATGACCAGTGTTCTGGCTCACATGAAGCCATGGAGTCTAGCCCAAGTAGCTGAATTCAGTGGCAATGTTCAGATCTGACTCATCCAGTCTGGCTCTTCTTAAGAGACAAAGAACAAATACTGTCTGTTGGCGGGTACTTCCAAAATAATTAGCAAGCACCAGCATACTTTTATTATTTTTTTCTGGCTATACAAACGCCCATAACTAGTATATCAAACTTCATGACTGTGAAAAAATAAAAGAACTTGTGAAAAGTAAGAAACATTTTGCCAGGAAGCAATTTCATTAATAGAGAAGTAGAATTGTATACTAGGAGGAACATGGGCTTTGAAAGTAGGCTGTCATAGGTTTAATTCATTCATCACTATTAATTAATTCATCAATTAAACAAGTGTGTACTGAGAACCTACTAAATTGAACCATAAAGATGCTGATACTCAACTTTATTTGAACTACAAAAATAATGGTTTTGTATGATTCAGTCTAATACATAACAGCCACTGTTGTATGTGCTGGGCCTTCAGTAAGAATAAAACAAAGTTCCTGTTCTCATGGAGATTACCTTTTAGTGGTGAGAGATCAAAAGAAAACAAGTCAAATGTATAGTATGTGCAGTAATAATACAGGCAATTAAGAAAAATATAGAAGGTAAGGAAGATGGGTGTGTTGTGAGGGGAGGAATTTGCTATTTTGTGGTAGTCAGGAAAGCATCTTTGATAAAGCCATGTTTGAGTAGAGAACTGTAGGAAGTGCAGAAATAAGCCATTTGGCTACCTGGGAGAAGAGCATTCTAGGCAGAGGAAATAGCAGGTGCGAAGTCCCTGATGCATGACTATGCTTGGTATGTTCAAGAATAGCAATGCCAGTGTGGCTGGAGCAAAGTGGGCAAAAGAGAGAGTAGTAAGGGATGAGATCAGCAAGGCATAGGACTACCTCATGTAAACCTTGCCTTACTTTTATAGGGCTTCTGGTTTTCACTGATTTAAGAGTTGAAAAACCTTGGAGGGTTTGGGGGAGAGATGTGACATGTGTTTTCAAAAGACTACTCTGGCTACTCTTGTGCGAATAGACTGTAGGGAAGAGAAGGTCGAAGCAGGCCAATTAAAAGGCTATTATTCCCCTAATCCAGGCAGGAAAAGACCATGGCTTGGTCTAAAACATTAGGTATGCAGCTAGTGAGAAGTGGTTAGCTTTTGTTCTATGAACGTAGAACTAACAAGATTTACTGATGTATCGGATGTGCCATATCAAAAAAAAGAGGTGCTAAAAATGTTCTGAGCAAGTGAAAAGGATGGAGTTTTCATTAACTGACATGGGGAAACCTGAACAAGGAAGAGGTTTTATGGCTGTGAGAATTTAGAGTTTCGTTTTAGACATTTAAAGGGTGAAATGCCTACTAGACATTCAAATGGAGAGGTCAAATAGTCAAGTAGGCAGCTGAATACAACAGCTGCAGAGAGACTCAGGTTAGGAATATAAACTTTGGAGTCATCAGCATGAATAAGACAATAAACTATTGAGGTTAATTGAGAAAAAAAGAAAAGAAATAGCGGAGACAAGAACTAAGCCTGGAGCATTCTGACGTTTAGGGGTCAAAGAAAAGAGAATAAAAGGAAGCAGCTGGGGATGTCAGAAGAGATGTTTAGAATGCAAGTCTTCATTCTTATGAGACCTCTCCAGGTTTCAGTTTCCATAAGTGAAAAATACAGAAAATAATTCCTAGGTCAGAGGATTTCCAAAGGCTGAAAAGAAGTAACATGGGAAAGCATACATAAGATCTAGAATGTGCTTAATAAATGTTATTCCTGACTCTTGGTGAAATTCTGGGTAGATGCCAGATTTCTCATGCTTCCTTCTATTTTTTGGCTCCTCAATCAGGTCCTCAAATATGAACCCTATAGTCCAACAGTGTTGGCTATGGAAGTAAGAGCCTCATTATTCTTCAGTTATTAGTTATACATTTTTCAGTGATAGAGCTCACTGTTATCAGATATTCATCTTTACTGTTTGTTCTCTTCCTGTGTTTTGTGAGGAGTCAGGTTTAAAGGAGAGTGGTCACTAATGTGAAGCTGGGAAAATGGAGGGAGGATGAGTTCTTTATCACCTGGCAGGAGTGTATCCTTACTTCAACATTTAACTGCTCACCAAATAATTTAATTTCAGAGGATTTGTTTCAGTGCTATGGAAGAACTATCTGTATATAAATAGCTGGGTTAAGTAGATCTTTCACTGCAGCTGTTAAAACCTATTGTTGTAGCTAGACACCTTGTAGTGATTCAAGATCATCTGTCTTTGAAGAAAGTCTATGCTTTCTTTTATGCACATGTAGTTTCTTTTAGTTCTGAAAATAAAATAAGCTTTACTTAGGAAGACTAAAGAAAATGTTTACTGAATAAACCAGGGGTAGCTGAAATAATACCCTGCCACAATCTCCTGCTTTTATTTCATTTATCTGCTTTCAACATTTACCACTGAATACTTATTGAAAGAATAAAGGAAAAACTAAATGAATGGATGAATTAATATCTGAATGGCTTTTTTTTGCTTTTCCTTAACAAGACTCCTCCTAAATAATCCTAAATAAGTTCTGGGTTACCCTGAGGATTATCTTTTACAACAAGAATCATGAAGTAGGAATACTTTTTCATAAAGAAGAGATAAATCCCAGAGTAACACCGAAACTTACCTAGTAAAGTAGTAAACAATCTGTAGGGAATCTCAGGGGATCATCTGATCCTAGTATCAGGCTCAAGCAGATTCTTTTTCAAGTTCTTATCCCTCCTCCTCTTCCCCACCCCAACCCAGTTGGATTTAAATTGTGTATATTAGAGCCTCTTTGTAAGGAAGAATTGGGCAGCAGTGCAGAGAGAAGGAAGAGTTGGGTGCTTTACCCTACTGCTAGCACTTGGGTGCTCAAAGTAGAGAAACAAGAAAAACAGGCTACTGGTAAGATGGACAATAAAATGAGCTGCATTGGGTGAACTGTGACCTAGATTATAACAGTGCTTTACAAATAATATTCCAAATTATAAGTCCCTAAAATTATCCAAATCTAGATTTTAACAATCCCGAAAGCCATTCATTTTAGAAAGATTTTATTTTCCTGTATCCTTCCCTCCATTTCTACTCCTGCCACCTTAGTCCAAACCAGTGTTTTTTTTCTTGCCAGGACAATGACAAAAGCTTTTCAACCAGTCTCTTCATTGCTTCTGTTGCTCTTCTGTAATCCATTCTCCATGTAGCACTTGGAATAATCCGACTAAAATGTAAATCAAATCAAATCATTTCTCTACTTACAATCTTTCAATGGCTCCCTATAGTACTTGGAACAACGTCCAAGCTCCTCCCTGTGGTCTTTAAGGTTTTTTGTGATCCGGCCCCTCCCTGCCCCTCTAACATCATATTGAGTCATTCTCTCCTTCACTATTCTCCAGCTACATTGACATCCTTTTACATGTATGGTGCTTGTGTATGTTTGTACATATCTATATAGTGTATATACATATAACTATTTTTTATTAGGATATAATTGGCATACAATAAACTAAACACACTTAAAGTGTATAACTTAAAGTTTTCAGATTTAGATATATGCATGAAAATATAACCACAATCAACAAAATTGGCATATCTATCATCCAAAAATTTCCTTTTACCCTTTTGTAATTTCTCACTCATGTCCCTCATTATCTTCTCATCCACCAGGCAACAAACAATATGCTTTCTGTCACTATAGGTAAGTTTAGCTTTTCTAGAATTTTATCTAAATGAAATTATACAGTATATACTTTTTTGTCTAGCTGCCTTTACTCAGCATAGTTATTTTGATATTTATCCATGTTGTTTATATTAATAGTTCATTCCTTTTTATTGCCAAATAGTGTTCCATTGTATGGATATAGCATAATTTATTTATCCATTCACCTACTGATGAACATTTGGTTTGCTGCCAGGTTTTGTCTATTAGAAATAAAGCTACTATGGACATTTGTATAAAACTCATTCTATCGCCATTTGTTTTCATTTCTCTTCAAAAAATATCTAGGTATAAATGACCGAGTCTAGAGAAGGTGAAGCAAAATGACTGAATAGAACTTTCCAGCAATTGTTGCCCCTGCAGAATACCAAATTGAATAACCATCCACATAAGAAAACACCTTCATAAGAACCAAAAACCAGGTGAGTGATCATAGTACCTGGTTTTAACATCATACCAATGAAAGAAGCACTGAAAGAGTATGAAAGATGTTGGCGCCACCCCTCCCTCATCCCCTGGCAGTGACTGTGTGGCATGGAGAGAGAATCTGTGTGCTTGGGGGAGGAAGAGAGCAGTAATTGTGGGACTTTGCACTGAAATTCAGTGCTGTGCTGTCATAACAGGGACTAACACAGGGCAGAACTCAGCTGGCACCCAAAGAGTGAGCATTTAGACCAGCCTTAGCCAGAGGGGAATCACCTAGCAGTATTGTCAGAATTCTGACAAGCCCAAAAACAAGCTAAAGCGCTCTGGAGTTCTAAATAAACTTGAAAGATGGTCTAGGCCACAAGAATTGCAATTTGTGGGCAAGTTCTGATGCTGTTCTAGGCTCAGAGTCAGTGAATTTGGGGTGCATACAACCTAGTGAGATGCCAACCACAGGGGCAAGGGAATGTTTGTGCCACCCCTCAGCCAACTCCAGGCAGCACAGCTTGCAGCTCCAGGATTCACACCTTCCTTCTGCTTGAGAAGAAGAGAGGGGAGAGGAGGACTTCGTTTTTCAACTTGGATACCAGCTAAGCCACAGTAGGACAGGGCACCAGGGAGAGTCTGACAGCCCTCATTCCAGGTCCTGGTTCCTGGACAAAATTTCTAAATATATCCTGAGCCAGAAGATAACCTGCTTCCTTGAAGGGAAGGACCCAGTCCTGGCAGAATTCATCACCTGCCAGCTAAATAGCCCTTGGGCCTTGAATGAACATGAGCAATACCCAGGCAGTACTTGTCATAGGCCTTGGGTAAGACCCAGGGCCACACTGGCTTTATGTGTGACTGAGTGCATTCCCAGCAGCTGTGGCCTTGAGGAGAGAATCCTGTTTGAGGAAAGGAGAGGGAAGAGTAAAGGGGACTTTGCCTTGTAGTTTGGGTATCAGCTTAGCCACAGTGGAGTAGAACATCAAGCAGTTTCCAAGGGTCCCCAGTTCCAGGCCTTGGTTCTTAGATGGCATTTCTGGATCCATCCTGGGCCAGAGTGAAGACTACTGTTCCGAAGGGAGAGATCCAGGCCTGGCAGCATTCACCACAAGCTGACTGAAGAGTCCTTGGGCCTGGAGCAAACATCAGCAGTAACCAGGCAATCCTCACTGTGAGCCTAGAACAGTGGTGGCCACAGCGAGAGACTTCTTCTGCATAGAGGAAAGAGTGGGAAGAATGTTGTCTTGTGGTTTGGGTGCCAGCTCAGCCACAGTAGAATAGAGTACCAAGTAGATTCTTACGTTTCCTAACTCTAGACCTGGGCTCCTAAATGGCATTTCTTGTCCCACTCTGGGCCAGGGGGGAGCTCACCACCCTGAAGGGAAGGGCATAAACCTGGCTACATTTGCTGCCTGCTGACTGAAGAGCCTTTGAGTCTTGAGTGAGCATCGGTGGTAGCCAGGCAGTGGACACCTCAGGACATTGACAAGACCCAGTGTTATGCTGGCTTCAGGTCTGACACAGTACAGTCCCAGTGATGGTGACCATAGGGGTGCTTGTGTCACCCCCTCTGACAGCTCCAGGGAGCCCAGCATGCAGAGAGAGACTCCATTTGTTTGGAGGAAAGCGAGAGAAGAGAACAAATCTCTGCCTAGTAATCTAAGGAATTCCCCTGGATCTCACCTAAGACCAGGAAGGTGGTATTTCTACAAGTCTGTAAGAGTCCCAGTGTTACTGAGCATGGAGTGCCCCCTAATGCAGATATTGCAACAGTGACTAAAGATTTAGATCATAACACTTGAATACTTGGAAAGCCTTCCCAAGAAGGATGGGTACAAATAAGCTCAGACTGCAAAGACTACAATAAATACCTAACTCTTCAATGCACAAAAATAAATGAACACCCACAAGCATTAAGACCATTCAGGAAAACATGACCTCACAAGACAAACTAAATAAGGCACCAGTGACCAATCCTGAGTAAGAGATATGTGACCTTTCAGAGAATTCAAAATACCTGTTTTTAGGAAGCTTAACAAAATTTAAGATAACACAGAGAAGGAATTCAGAATCTTATCAGATAAATTTTTAACAAAGATATTGAAATAATTTTTAAAAATCAAGCAGAAATTCTGGAGCTGAAAAATTCAATTGATGTACAAAGAATGCAGCAGCATCTTGCAATAGCAGAGTTGATCAAACAGAAGAAAGAATTACTGAGCTTGAAGACAGGCTATTTGAAAACACAGAGTCATAGAAGACAAAAGAAAAAAGAATAAGAAAGAATGAAGAATGCCCATAAGATGTAGAAAATAGCTTCAAAATAGCAAATCTAAAAGTTCTTAATCTTTAAGAGGAGGTAAAGAGAGAGATCAGGGTTGAAAGTTTATTCAAAGGGATAGTAAAAGAAAATTTTCCAAATCTAAATAAAGAAATCAACTTACAAGAACAAGAAGGTTCTATAACACCAAGCAAATTTAACCCAAAGAAGACTACTTTAAGTCTTTTAATAATCAAACTCCCAAAGGTCAAGTATAAAGAAAGAAACTTAAGAGTAGCAAGAGAAAAGAAACACATAGCATACAAAAGAACTTCAATATGTCTGGCAGCAGAATTCTCAGTGGAAGCCTTCCAGGCCAGGAGAGAGCGGCATGATATATTTAAAAGGATGACTGAAAATGCTTTTATCCTAGAATAACATAGGTGAAAATATCCTTCAAACATGAAGGAGAAATAAAGATCTTCCCAGGCAAACAAAAGGTGAAAGATTTAACCAACATCATATCTGTCCTACAAGAAATGCTAAGGAGAGTTCTTCAATCTGAAAGAAAATAATGTTAATGAGCAATAAGAAAACATCTGAACATACAAAACTCACTGGTCATAATAAATAAACAGACAAACACGTAATATTAGAACACTGTAACTGTGGTGTTTAAAGCACCCATATCTTGAGTAGGAAGACTAAAAGATGAACCAATCAAAAATAATAATGGGGTGATAAAGTTAAAGTGTATAGAGTTATTAGTTTTCTCTTTGCTTGTTTGTTAATTTGTTTTTGCAGTCAGGGTTAAGTTGTCATCAGTTTAATGTAATGGGTTATAAGATGTTATTTGCAAGCCTCCTGATAACCTCAAATCATAAAAAACCCTACAACAGGTATAAAAATAACAAGAAATTAAGATATACCTCCTGAGAAAACCACCTTCACTAAATAGACAAAGGGAGGAAGAAAGGAAGAGAAGACCACAAAACAACCAGAAAACAAATAACAAAATGGTGGTAGTAAGTCCTTACTTATCAATACCACTGAATGTAAATGGACTGAACTTTCCAATCAAAAGACATAGAGTGGCTGAATGGATGAAAAAGCAAGACCCATTGATCCGCTACAAGAAAAACATTTCACCTATAAAAACATTTCACCTATAAAAACTCATCGAGACTGAAAATGAAAAGATATAAAAGATATTTCATGCAAATGAAAGCCAAAAAAAGGGCAGGAGTAGCTGTGCTCATATGAGACAAAATAAGTTTCAAGATAAAAACTACAAAAAGTGATAAAAGGGTTATTATATAACAATAAAGGTGTCAATTCAGTAAGAGAATATAACAATTGTAAATATATATGCTCCCAACACTGGAGGATCAGATATGTAAAGCAAATATTATCAGAGCTAAAGAGAGAGACAGATCCCAATACAATAACAGCTGGAGGCATCGATGCCTCACTTTCAACATTGGACAGATCATCCAGACAGAAAAATCAACAAAGAAATATCATAGTTAATCTATACTATAGAACAAATGGACATCATAGATATGTACAAAACATTTCATCCAATGGCTGCAGAATACACATTCTTCTCCTCAGCACGTGGATCATTCTCAAGTATAGATGATATGTTAGGTCACAAAAGAAGTCTTAAAGAATTAAAAAATATTGAAATCATATCAAGTCTCTTCTCTGACCACAATGGAATGAAACTAGAAATCAATAACAAGAAGAATGTTAGAAACTATACAAACACATGGAAATTAAACAATATGCTTCTGAATGACCAGTGAATTAATAAAGACATTAAAATAAAATTTTCAAAAATTATTGAAACAAATGAAAATGGAAACACAACATATCAAAATCTATGGGTTATAGTAAAAGCAGTACTAGAGAAAAGTTTCTAGCAATAAGTTCCTACATCAAAAAAGTAGAAAAACTTTATATAAACTACTTAATTATGCATTTTAAAGAACTAGAAAAGCTGAAAAGCTAGAACAAAACAAACACAAAATTACTAGAAGAAAGCAATAATAAAGATTAGAGCAGAAATATAACAGAAACAGAAAAGAATAATACAAAACGTCAATGAAATGAAAAGTTGGTTTTTTGAAAAGATAAACAAAAATGAAAACTTTTAGCCAGACTAAGAAAAAAACTAAAAAGGCCTAAATACAATCAGAGGTGAAAAAGGAGATACTACAACTGATACTCCAGAAATTCAAATGATCGTTAGAGAATTCTATGAGCAACTCTATGCCAATAAATTGAAAAATCTAGAAGAAATGGATAAATGATTATACACAGACAACCTACCAAGATTGAAGGCTGAAGAAATCCAAAACCTGAATAGACTAGTAACAAGTAATTAGATCAAAGCCATACTAAAAAGTCTCCCAGAAAAAAAAAAAAAAAAGGCGTGGACCTGATGGCTTCACTGCTAAATTCTACCAAATATTTGCAGAAGAACTAATACCAATCCTACTCAAACAATTCTGAAAAATAAGGGGACTACCTCTAAACTCATTCTATGAAGCCAGTATTATGCTGATATCATAAACAAAGACACATCACAAAAAGAAAACTACAGGCCATTATCCCTGATGAACATTGATGCCATTGATACAAAAATCCTCAACAAAATAAGAGCAGTCCAAATTCAGCAACACATTAAAAAGGTCATTAATCATGACCAGGTTGGATTTATCCCTGGAATGCAAGGATGGTTTAACATACACAAATCAATTAATGTGATATATCATATCAACAGAATAAAGGGAAAAAAACATAAAATCACTTCAATAGATGCTGAAAAAGCATTTGATAAAATTCAATATTCCTTCATAATAAAAACTCTCAAAAAACTGGGGATAGAAGAAACATACTTTAACATAATAAAAGCTATATATGACAGACTCACAGCTAGTATAATACTTAATGGGGTAAAACTGAAAACTCTTCAGTTTTGAAGATCTGGAACAAGACAAGGATGTCCTCTTTCACCACTGTTATTCAATATAATACTGGAAGTCCTAGTAGAGTAATCAGACAACAGAAAGAAATAAAAGGCATTCAAATGGGAAAGGAAGAAGTCAATTTATCCTTGTTTACAGATGATAAAATCTTATATGTGGAAAAACCCAAACTAATTCAGTAAAGTGGCAAGATACAAAACCAACATACAATAATCAATAGCATTTCTATATGCCAACAGCAAACAATATGAAAAAGAAATCAAATCCCATTTCCAATAGTTATGAATAAAATAAAATACTTAGGAATAGACTTAAAGAAGTGAAAGATATCTAAAATAAAAACTGTAAAACACTGATGCAAGAACTTGATTGAAGAGGACACACAAAAAAATGGAAATATATTCCATGTTCAGGGATTGGAAGAATCAATATTGTTACAATAAAATGCTCATACTAACCAAAGCTATGTGCAGATTCAATGCAATCCCTATCAAATATCAATGACATTCTTTGCAGAAATAGAAAAAAAATTTCCTAAAATTATATGGAACCACAAAAGAACTAGGCTAGCCAAAGCCATACAGAGCAAAACAAACAAAACTGGAGGAATCACATTACCAGACTTCAAATTATACTACAGAAATATTGTAACAAAAACAGCATGGTTCTAGCATAAAAACAGGCACATAGACCAATGGAACAGAACAGAGAACCCAGAAATAAATTCACACATGTACAGTGAACTTATTTTTGACAAAAGTGCCAAGAAAACACATTGGGGAAAGGACAATCTCTTCAATAAATGGTTCTGGGAAAACTGGATATCCTTATGCAGAAGAACAAAACTAGAACCTATCTCTCACCTTATAAAAAATCACACTACCTGACTTCAAACTATACTACAAGGCTACAGTAACCAAAACAGCATGGTACTGGTACCAAAACAGATATATAGACCAATGGAACAGAACAGAAGCCTCAAAAATAACACCACACATCTACAGCCATCTTATCTTTGACAAACCTGACAAAAACAAGAAATGGGGAAGGATTCCCTGTTTAACAAATGGTGCTGGGAAAACTGGCTAGGCATATGTAGAAAGCTGAAACTGGATCCCTTCTTTACACCTTATACAAAAATTAATTCAAGATGGATTAAAGACTTAAATGATAGACCTAAAACCATAAAAACCCTAGAAGAAAACCTAGGCAATATGATTCAGGACATAGGCATGGGCAAGGACTTCATGACTAAAATACCAAAAGCAATGGTAACAAAGCCAAAGTAGACAAATGGGATCTAATTAAACTAAAGAGCTTCTGCACGGCAAAAGAAACTACCATCAGATTGGCTGGGCATGGTGGCTCACGCCTGTAATCCCAGCACTTTGGGAGGGCAAGATGGGCAGATCACGAGGTCAAGAGACCGAGACTATTCTGGCTAACACAGTGAACCCCATCTCTACTAAAAATAAAAATAAAAATAAAAATAAAAATAAAAATAAAAATAAATTAGCCAGGTGTGGTGGTGGGTGCCTGTAGTCCCAGCTACTCAGGAGGCTGGGGCAGGAATGAACCTGGGAGGCGGAGCTTTCAGTGAGCCAAAATCACGCCACTGCACTCCAGCCTGGGCGACAGAGCAAGACTCCATCTCAAAAAAAAAAAAACGAAACAAAACAACTACCATCAGAGTGAGCAGGCAACCTACAGAATGGGAGAAAATTTTCACAATCTACCCATCTGACAAAGGGCTAATATCCAGAATCTACAAAGAACTCCAACAAATTTACAAGAAAAAAAAGAAACTACCCCATCAAAAAGTGGGCAAAATATGTGAACAGACACTTCTCAAAAGAAAACATCTATCCAGCCAACAGACACAAGGAAAAATGCTCATCATCACTGGGTATCAGAGAAATGCAAATCAAAACCACAATGAGATACCATCTCACACCAGTTAGAATGGCAATCATTAAAAAGTCAGGAAACAACAGATGCTGGAGAGGATGTGGAGAAATAGGAATGCTTTTACACTGTTGGTGGGAGTGTAAATTAGTTCAACCATTGTGGAAGACAGCGTGGCGATTCCTCAAGGATCTAGAACTAGAAATACCATTTGACCCAGCAATCCCATTACTGGATATATACCCAAAGGATTACAAATCATGCTACTATAAAGACACATGCACACATATGTTTACTGCAGTAGTATTCACAATAGTAAAGACTTGGAACCAACCCCAATGTCCATCAATGATAGACTGGATTAAGAAAATATGGCACATATACACCATGGAATACTATGCAGCCATAAAAAAGGGTGAGTTCATGTCCTTTGCAGGGACATGGATGAAGCTGGAAACTATCATTCTGAGCAAACTATCACAAGGACAGAAAACCAAACACCACATGTTCTCACTCATAGGTGGGAATTGAACAACGAGAACACCTGGACACAGGGTGGGGAACATCACACACTGGGGCCTGTCGGGGGGTGGGGGCTGGGGAAGGGATAGCATTAGGAGAAATACCTAATATAAATTACAAGTTGATGGGTGCAGCAAACCAGCATGGCACACGTATACCTATGTAGCAAACCTGCTCGTTGTGCACATGTACCCTAGAACTTAAAGCATAATAAAAAATAAAATAAAATAAATCAAATCAAAATGGATTAAAGACTTAAATCTAAGATTTCAAGCTATGAAACTACTAAAAGAAAATGGGGAAACTCTCCAGGACATTGGACTGGGTAAAAGTTTCTTGAGTAATATCCCATGTGCACAGGCAAGCAAAGTGAAAATGGACAAATGGGATCACATCAAGTTAAAAAGCTTCTGCAAAGCAATGGAAACAATTACCAAAGTGAAGAGGCATCCTACAGAATGGAATACAATATTTGCAAACTATTCATCTGACAAGGAATTAATAACCAAAATATATAAGGAGCTCAAACGACTCTATAGGATAGAAACCTAATACTCTGATTTAAAAATGGGCAAAATATCTGAATAGACATTTATCAAAAGAAGACATACAAACAGCAAGCGAGTATGTGAAAAGATACTCAACAACACTGATCATCAGAGAAATGCAGATCAAAACTACAATGAGATAGCATCTCACCCCAGTTTAAATGATGTTTATCCAAAAATACGAGTAATAATGAATGCCAGCAAGGATGTGGAGAAAAGGGAACCCTCGTAAACTGTTTGCTGGAATGCAAATTTGTACAGGACTATGGAGAAAAATATGTAGGTTACTAAAAAACTACAAATAGAACCACCATATGTTCCAGCAATCCCAGTGCTAGTTATATACCCAAATGAAATGAAATAGGTATATAAGACAGATATCTGCACTCCTACATTTATTGCAGCACTGTTTACAATGGCCAAAATTTGGAAGCAACCTTTTGTCCATCAACAGATAAATGGATAAAGAAAATGTGGTATATACACATAATGTAGTACTATTCAGCCATAAAAAAGAATGTGATCCTGTCATTTGCAACAACATGGATGGAACTGGAGGACATCATGTTAAGTGAAATAAGCCAGGTACAGAAAGATTAACTTCACATGTTCTCACTTATTTGTGGGAGCTAAAATTTAGAACAATTGAATCCACGGAGACAGAGAATAGAATGATGGTTACCAGAGGCTGGGAAGAGTAGTGGGGGCAGGAGGAGAAATGGGGATGGTTAGCGGATACAAAAATACAGTTATAAACAATAATTAACATTTAGTAATTGATAACATAACAGGGTGACTACAGTCAACAATAAATTATTGCACTTCTTTTTTTTTTGAGACAAAGTTTCGCTCCTGCTGCCGAGGCTGGAGTGCAATGGCGCGATCTTGGCTCACCACAATCCCCGCCTTCCAGGTTCAAGCAATTCTCCTGCTTCGGTCTCCCAAGTAGCTGGGACTACAGGCATGTGCCACCACGCCCGGCTAATTTTGTATTTTTAGTAGAGACGGGGTTTCTCCTTGTTGGTCAGGCTGGTCTCAATCTCCTGATTTCAGGTGATCTGCCCACCTCAGCTTCCCAAAGAATTATTGCACATTTTAAAATAACTAAAAGAATATAATTGGAAGGTTTGTAACACAAAGAAATAATAAATGCTTGAGGGGATAGATAGCCCATTTACCCTGATAATTACACATTGTATGCCTGGATCAAAGTATCTCATCTACCCCATAAATACATACATGCACTACGTACCCATAAAAAAATTGGCTGAGTCATGTGGTAGGTAGATGTTTAACATTTAAAAATACAGCCAAACCATTTTCCAAAGTGATTATACCATTTTATATTCCTACCAGCAATGTATGAGAGTTCCAGTTACTCCACATGTTCACTAACACTTGGTATGATCAGCTGTTAATTTTAAATTTTGTAACAGGTAAATATTAGCCCAATGGCTAATGATAGGAAGTATTTTTTTTCACATGCTGATTTGTCATCTGAATATCTGCATATCTTCTATGGATAGGTGTCCATTAAATCTTTTGCTCATTTAAAAAAATTGTCATTTGTTTCCTTATTACTGGATTTGACAGTTCTTCACATTTTCCATATTAACTCCTTTATAAGATATGATAATTGGAAACATATTCTCCCAGTCAGTGGTTTGTCATCACTGTCTTTGCAATGTTTTTCAGAAAGCTGAAGTTCTTAATTTTGATTAAGTTCAATATATCAAATTTTTCTTTTATGGATTATACTTTCAGTGTCATTCTTTTAAAGTTTTATTTTAAGTCCAGGGGTACATGTTCAGGTTTGTTATATAGGTATACTTGCGTCATGGGGGTTTGTTGTACAGATTACTTCACACCCAGGTGTTAAGCCTGGTACACATTAGTTATTTTTCCTGATCCTCTTCCTCCTCCCACCCTCCACCCTCCAAAAGGCCCCAGTGTGTACTGTTCCCCTCTATGAGTCGTGTATTCTCATAATTTAGCTCCCACTTATAAGTGAGTACATGTGGTATTCAGTTTTCTGTTCCTGTGTTAGTTTGCTAAGGTGTCATTTTTAAGAAATCTTTGCCTAACCCAAAGTCACAAAGTGTTTCTCTTATGTTTTCTGCTAGCAATTTTAGAGTTTTCGGCTTTATATTTATCTTTGCAAAATATTTAATTTTTAATATGGTATAAGGTATAGATGAGTGCTTTTATCCTTTTTTTTGAAAACCATATCCAATTTTTCCAGAAAATTTGTGGAAAAGACTTTCCTTTATTCATTGAGTCAAACCTTTGTTAAAAATCAATTAACCATATAAATGTGGATCTGTTTCTGGACTCTGTATTTTGTTTCATTGATCTATTTATTTTTACATTGATACCACATGGTCTTAAATATCATGACTTTATACTATATCTTGAAGTCAGTTGGTGTGTCTTACAGCTTTAATTTTCTTCAAAGTTGTTTTTAAATTATTCTGCATTTCCATATGAATGTGAGGATCAGTTTGCTAATTTCTACAAAAGCCTGCTGGGATTTTGATTGGGTTGGCATCTTTTCTGGTCTTTTAAAATTAAAAGCTTATCATCACTTTAAGACTTTTGTATTTTGTTCATTGGTTCATTTATCTTCTTTTCTCTTTACAGGGATCTTTCGATGGCTGGCTCCTTTGTATCATTCGTATTTCAGCTCAAAAGTAACATCCTCAGAGATATCTTTCCTTGATTACCCAATTTAAATTTATATCCCTCATCTCTTTATATCAAAGCATTGTTTTGTTGACTTAACAGCATTAATTATCATCAGAAATTAATCTTGCCTATTTGTTTATTTTGTTGCTTATTATCTGTCTAGCCAACTAGAATGTGAGAAAAGAGTAGAGACCTTGCTTGTCTTATTCAGTTTGTATCCCTGAAGCCAAAAAGTGCCTTTGATAAGCGGATACTAAATATTTGTCGAATGATTGACTATTTGACAAATGTGCATTTAAGTAAAGATTCAACTAGTATGAAAATATATAATATTAACTAGAATATGTTAACTTATTTATGAAATGATAGTTCTCTGGGAAGACTGTGGGAACTTGACTGTGACTTAAAGCTGTAGTTCTCTTGAAGATTATGAATTGCGTTGGGCTAGATTATGGCATTTCAGAAACATAGATTTTTGGTTTTTAAACTAAACATCTCAATTTAGCTCATTAGCTTTGTTAGCAGAATTTAAATAGGTCTCACATTAGAGTTATTCCTGATTACTTTAGGAATGTGAATATCTAGAACAAATAAAATCTTTCCCCAAACATTACACAGATAAAAGGCAGAAAGTTTCAGGTCCATGAGAAATTATAGGTATTTCCTAAATAATATTTAATTAAAAATAAATACTAGTCATAATTTTGACAGACAGAGGCAGCAATTAAAACATACTTCATTTTTGTCCTTGATTGCTTAAAGTAGCAAACAATGAAATCAATTTCTTGAGCCCTATCCATGTTGCAAAGGTATAAATAAGATTTTATCCTTAATGAGATCATACAACACAGATACAAAACCTAAGGCTGTTTCAAAATGTTTTGTAGTAGCGTAAACATAGAATTTTATTTGCTGAGCTATTTCTCTCACTGAGAACCTTCATTCATTGAACCCACCAAACTTGTGTTGAGCACCAGCTACATGTTAGGAACTGTGCTAGGCAATGGAGATAAGAAATGAATAAAACAGAGTCTCAATCCTTCAAGAAGTCACAGATTTTACAATTTCAATTGCTTGAAGGAAAAGTCACAACTGAAGAGACTGGAAATTGTGGAAATGGTCAGCTTTTTTTCCCTGATTTTGTTCTACTGTGGTCCTTACGTGGCCTTCATTCAATACCTAGGCTTCATGGTGGGCTTAGCTTTCCCCTTCCAAGTGACTCACAGGCAACTCCAGATCTAGTGTTCTATTATTAGCCTTCTCAAACCTGATTATTCTAAGAAGCACTTCCCACTGGCAACATGGTAATCATGTTTAAATATAACTCTTCATGATCAATCTAAATCTCCAGATTTTTAACCAAGTTTCCCTGTGGCTTAGATACCTTTTTTTTTTGCTTTGTTTTTAATTAATCCACGTTTTTATAATCCTATGTGACATTAACATGTAAGGGGTGTGTGTGTCTGTACGTGTGGCCTTCTGCACTAAGGCATTAGACAGAAACAATTTGAATGAAGACCACTGGCTCTTCTAGTCAAACTTCCTCTTTCTGTATACTCTGCCTGTATCTGTCATCTGTCTATACCTGTCAGATGTCTGTACATGTCAGGAATAAAGCTAACGGGATGTATAACAACTAATAATTCATGGTTTGAATAACTATAGTAGCTTTCATTTATTGAATGTTTCCTACGTACCAATGATATGGGCTGGCTGTGTCCCCACCCAAATCTCACGTTGAATTGTAATAATCCCCACGTGTCAAGGGCAGGGCCATGTGTAGATAATTGAATCATGGGGGTGGTTTCCCCCATACTGTTCTCATAGTAGTGAACAAGTCTCATGAGATCTGATGGTTTTATAAATGGGAGTTCCCCAACACATGTCCTCTTGTCTGCCACCATGTAAGATGTATCTTGCTTCCCCTTTGCCTTCTGCCATGATTGTGAGGCCTCCCTAGCCATTTGGAACTGTGAGTCCATTAAACCTCTTTCATTTATAAATTACCCAGTCTTGGGTATGTCTTTATTAGCAGTGTGAGAACAGACTAATACAACCAGGAACCAGGAAATATGCATGTCCTTACTTTATTTTTGTATCAATCCTATGAGGTAGGGACTTTTATTTTCTTCATTTTATCAATAAAGCTCAGGTAGGGTAATTTGGCCTAGATTACATCAGTAAGTGAAGAGAACAAGGTTTCAGCTTAATCCTGTCAATCTGGCCATAGCCTATATACTTAGGCTATACAAATATTAAAGTATACTATTAAGTTACAAAATATTAATATTAAAAACTAAGAATGGTTTCTATATCCTCTACAACCCAATTTTCCAATCTTTCAGTAACCAGGGCAATGAGACTGAAATTGTTCATTTTCTGTTTTTATAGACATTTCTGTTTTTTAAAACAAGTTGTTAGCATCAAATTTCGGTCTCTGTGAATCTGGAAACACAAGGCTATAGCTGACCTGTCAGTTATTATATTATTTGTTTTTGCAATTTTGGCCACAGGCCATTTATCCTATTTCATGTTTGTTGCTTTTTTTTTTTTTGAGATAGATAGGGTCTCACTCTGTCACCCAGACTGGAATGTCATGGCACGATCATAGCTCACTGCAGCTTTGAACTCCTGGGCTCTAGTAATCCTCCCACTTCAGCCCTTCAAGTAGCTGGGATTACAGGTGTGCGCTACCATGCCTGGCTAAGTTTTCTATTTTTTGTAGAGACGAGGTCTCGCTATGTTGTCCAGGCTGGTCTTGAACTCCTGGCCTGAAGCAATTCTTCTGCCTTAGCCTCCAAAGCACTGGAATTATAGGTGTTAGCCACTGCACCCAGCCTTGTAGCTTCTGAAGAGCAGGAAGGAGAGCTTGTGAGTTAATATGAAACATTAAGATGTCAATATCATGAAATAAAGGCATACTTTTCATAGCAAACCTTTCCATAAATTACTCTTACGCTTTTTCTTTCTTTATTCCTCTTGAACTGTAATAAAAATGAAAACTATAACAAATATAATCACTTTTAAATGTTTCTTAGTCCTAAGCTTCTATCCTGTTGCTTTCCAGTAATGTGTTTGTGGTTGCTGTTGTAACTATAACACCTTAACTTTCAATGATCTAATTTTCACAGTAAACAGTTACCCTATTTTCCAAAGATCACACTCTGACAATAGAAGTTAGGACATATCTATATGCATACCCATATTTGGGAAATAGATTAATCAACTAACACAGTTTTCCAAATAAGTAATTTTTTAAAAATCCCTTTTTTTCCATTTTGTTAAGCCTTTTGTATTTTCTTTTTGATATTAGGTATTGACATGACCCTGCCTGCACAGTTCCAGTGATAAACACTTGCTTTAATGATTTATTGCCTTTCCTGGAAAGGAACAATGAATGATCTGAACTTATTGCTGTTCCTATGCTTGGTGGGCAAATCACATTGAGTTTGCCTTCATGGTCAATACAGATGGCTGTAATCAAATCAATTTTGGGACAAGCCACATTGAATGCTAAAAGCCTGATTTGAATAGCACAGCCTAAAGATGATGGAACCTATGCCACTGCCAGCTGATTACTATGCTTTAGAAAAATAAAAATGTTTTAATTAATTACGGGGATGACAAAAATCTGTATTAAAAGGAGTAAAATTGGAAATCTAATCAAGGGTATTAAAATCCCCAACGAATTAGGCCTGAAGGAAGGATATCTAAAAGATGTACCAATGAGTTCATACAGACCTACAGATACATCTAATGAATGGTTGCTAAATAGGACAAATATAGCTCATTATCATTTTAGAAGGATAATTATAGATAATTACAGGTAAACTATCATCCCAATGCTACATGTGATGTAGATGACATGTTATGCTGGGCTTTTTGTTTTCTCTCACAACACTTATTGAATATCCACTAAGTTTAGAACATCACAGAAGTTCAGATTTGTAAATAAGAAAAAAAAAACAACACAGAAAACATAGACCAAAGCCCATTATAATAAACTCCATGGAGCATCTACATTTTTGCTTGCAGTACAATTTTGTTTACATATTTACAAATCACTTTCCTATCAACAGGGAACTAGAGACTAATAAAAGGGCTCATGCCCAACTGTTCTGGAGAATTTAAGCAAGTAAAATGTTGTGTTCAAAATGCAGTAGGGGTAAGAGGTGGATAAAATGCATATAACTTCACTTTTGCTTATTCTTTCTATGGTTCAGCCTTGATCTGGTTTGGTGCACAAATGTGAAGGTTTAGAGGCATACTTTGGCTGTGCAGTTTAGGTAGTATTTTGATGCACATGTAAAGGCTAGAAAAAAATTTAAAAGTGCTATTTGGTGACTAGATGTATTCGGTTTCAGAACTAATAGGCTATATAGAGATATAAAAGAGGATATTTATTATGGGAATTGGCTCACATGATTATGGAGGCTGAGAAGTCCCATGAGGTGCCACCAGCAAGCTGGAGAACCAGGAAAGCTGGTGTGTACTTCAGCCTGAGTCCGAATCTCTGAGAACCGGGGAGCCAATGGTGTAAGTCCGAGAGTCCAAAGGCCCAAGAACCAGGAGCTCTGATGTCCAAGGGCAGGAGAAGATGGATGTCCCAGCTCAAGAAGAGAGCAAATTAGCCCTTCCTTCACCTTTTCATTCTATCTGGGCTCTCAACAGATTAAGTGATGCCCATCCACACTGGTGAGGGCAGATTGTCTTTACTCAGTGTACTGATTCAAATGTTAATCTCTTCCAAAAGGACCCACATAGACATACACAGAAATGTTTACCAGCTCTCTGGGATCTCTTGGCCCTGTCGAGTTGACATAAAATTAACCATTACACCAGAGGAAAAAAGAAAAAAACTTTGACAAACTAAGTTATCTTTTTAATACATGGGTAGAATTACCACTCACACAGTAAAGAAACAAAGAGCTGTTGAACAGATATAATGTATTATAATGCATTTAGTGGACCATTTTAGAATATAGAAATGGAGTAAAGGGAAAAATCTGTGATCAAAAGAATTTTACCACTCATTCATTCATTCAAAATACATTTATGTATTAAATGTACATAATAGATTTACTCATTCACTGGTTCATTCAAAAACATTCAGTATATGCTATGAACCAGGCACTGAGTGAGCCAATAGACTTGGTTTCCCAAAGTCAGAAAAAGATGAACTCTTAGGAAAAAATACACAAAAATGAAAAACATAACCATAAAATCATCAGGAAATAGCAAAATTTATAAACATAATTACAGCTATTAAATAATACTTGTATAAAAAAGTACACAGTGTTATATAAAAAAAGGCATAAAGCAACGGTAAGGCATTGGAGAGATTGGGGTCAAATGAGGTTAGTCTTTGAAAAGGTCAACCAGGAGACTGCATTTAAAAGCGGGAAAAGGATATAATTTGTTCAAGTGAAGTGGGAATGGTGTATCAGGAAGGCCAAGCAATTCTAGGTGGGAGAAGTGTGTACAGTAGAAGGTTTTCTTAGCAGAAACACAGAAAACAGGTGTGGGAAATATCACCAGTTCTTAACTTGGCCTGTCTCTCTATTAAGAAGAGGGTCACAAAGTGTTCACAGATGGAGATATTCTCTTTCCAATGGGATAACAGTACTGATTTAGTTCATATGAAAAGATTTTTTACATGAAAATCATATTTTTTGGAATAAATGATGTGCAATTATGTACATGACAAAAGAATTGATTTACAGGGGAATTTTGCCGCAGTGTTATCCAAACACTAAATTTTTTCCATATATTTAAAACATGATGCTATTTACTAAAACATGCTTTATGCACTCTCCTCCCAGGAACACATGCATTACACAAAAGAATGTATCCATTTGCCTTAAAACAAAACAACAGTAGCATTACCATTTCATTTTATTTAGCTACTAATGTCAAGAGAGCTCAATGAAAGGAAATGTTTTTTCAGAGTTGAAAAAACTCTGATTCCCCTTGAAAATAGTCATCCAAGGTCAATAGAGATCATGTTATTCAGATTTTTAGACAAGAAACGAATGGGGGATTCAGATGACATTGTGCTTCAGTGATATGTTAGGCACATGAATTATTATAGTGGCTTGAAAGAGAAAAATTCATCTAAGAATCTTCCTAATTCCCCTTTATTCACTGACTTTCTCAGTATCATCTATCAAATATTTCAAACAAAAAGGACCACATTGTTAAGTGACATAAAGAATAAAATTTGGCAGCACAGATTTGGCTTTTCCTCTCTTATGCAAGTATAAAGTTATGAATACAAACAAATTTAGTTTTCACTTGCTTTTCATCATCTAATCAATAAAACACATTCTACATAATCCAAAGCATACTGAAAGTAGAGATGACATTAAAAAGCTGACTATAAAACTAAATTTCAAAAGAGCTTAAAATCTAGTGCCATGAGAAGTCCAGAAGATTAGTTATTATGTTCTTTAGGCTAATTGAGTTCAAATGTTGGCTTTTATGAAATGTGCACAAGGGCCACCTCATGATTAAGTAATCTTAGCAAACGCACACACCGGTCAGAATAGTCACATCTGAACAAAAGGCACATAATACTTATATGTGGCAATACAGCAACCTCTAAGACAGCCATGTGATTAGAAATGTACACAGCAGTACTGCTGACCTAAAAAATTACATTTGTTACATGGGGAAGGTGTATATATTATTGGAAGTCATGGACTTGCCTTACAAATCTAAATTTATAAACACATCATAGATGAAATGCAAGTTTGGTCAGTAAATTGGCCATCTGTTCCAGATACTTACTTTTCTGTTTCAAGGAGAAAAACAGTCTATTCTAAATATTTTCTTAGTCAACCTCCCATTTGAGGCTCTAGTGACCAATCAATCCATCAATCATTTATGTATATCTATCTACTTAAAACAAATATTTATTGAGGTTGTACTATGCCCCAACACTGTTCTAAACTCTGGGGTTTCAGTGGTGAATCAGAAAAGGTGCCTGTACACATCCTAGAGAGGTAGACAAATTTAAAAAAAATCAAACAATAAATATTTCAGTATTGATAAATTGTATAAAGAAAAATAAGGCAAAGTAGAAGAACACAGAGACTATTTTATCTTATTTTATTTTTACGTATTTCAATAGTTTTGGGGGAACAGGTGGTGTTTGGTTACATGGATAAGTTCTTCAGTGGTGATTTCTGAGATTTTGGTGCACCCATTACCCAAGGAGGGTACACTGTACTCAATGTGTAGTCTTTTATCCCTCACCCACCTCACTCTTCCCCACAAGTCCCCAGAATTCATTATATCATTCTTATGCATTTGCATCTTCATAGCTTAGCTCCCACATATAAGTGAGAACATATGATGTTTGATTTTCCATTCCTGAGTTACTTCATTTAGAATAATGGTCTCCGACTCCATCTAGGTTGCTGAGAATGCCATTATTTCATTCCTTTTTATGGCCGAGCAGTATTCCATGGTATTCTTTATCCACTCATTGGCTGATGGGTATTTAGGTTGGTTCCATATTTTTGTGATTGCGAATTGTGCTGCTATAAACATGCATGTGCAAGTGTCCTTTTCATATAATGACTTCTTTTTCACTAGATAGATACCCAGTAGTGGGATTGCTGGATCAAATGGTCGTTCTACTTTTAGTTCTTTAAGGAGTCTCCATACTGTTTTCGGTAGTGGTTGTACTAGTTTACATTCCCACCAGCAGTGTAGAAGTGTTCCCTTTTCACCACATCCATGCCAACATCTATTATTTTTTGATTTTTTAAAATTATGACCATTCTTGCAGGAGACTGTTTTAAATAGAGGGACCTGGGAGGGTCTTCTTAACGCGGTAGTTCACATTTGAGCAGAAGGTTCTCGTTCTCTAGTCTATTATATTTTCTTATAATTTAAAATTGTGCACTCTTTGTGCAGTGCTGATTCTTGGCTTTCCTTTCCCCCTTCTACCGTTTTCTTTTACTAGCTTTTGCCTCTCAGAGAGCGTGAGTTAGGAGGTGAAACTCATTTATTTGTGACAATGTTGTTCCTGCTGACAGCTTTACAAAGAGTTTTGATTGAAAAGAAGGCTGAAAATAAGGGATAAAATGAGATATTCTTGGATTCTAATGATGCACATTTTCTCTGCCACCCTGAACTCATATATCAGTAAACAATTGAGAATTGCCTAGCTTTCTGAGTGATCTCTGTTTATCATAGGCTCTGGGAATATGTCTGATGGTGATCTCTTATAATACATTAAATAATATATTTTAGTAGTCCATTGTAATTTGTTCATCTCTGAATTTGGTAGGAAGTCATCCTGATCTTTAGCAATGAATGTGTACTTTGAGATTCCCTTGAATTCATAAAAAAAGGTTAATGTATCCATATTAGTCTGTTTTGCATTGCTATGAAGGAATACCTGAGACTGGGTAATTTATAAGGAAAAGAGGCTTATTGGCTCATGGTTTTGCAGACTATACAGGAATCATGGCACCAGCATTTGCTTCCAGTGAGGCCTCAGGAAGCTTACAATCATAGCAGAAGGCCAAGGGCGGTGGGGGGCAGGTGTATCACATGGTGTGAGAGGGAGCAAGAGAGAGAGAGATGGGGGAGGTCCTAAATTCTTTTTAACAATCAGTTCTCACATGAAGTCATTACTGTGGGGAGGGTACCAAGCCATTCATGAGGGATCTACCCCCATGAACCCAACACCTCCCACCAGGCCCCATCTCCAACATTGGGGAACACATTTCAACATGAGATTTGGAGGGGTCAAACATCCAAACTATATCAGTACCTATTTTACAAATTGTATATTTCTGCTGATATCAATTTAAATAAAATTACATTATTTCATAATTATCTGACTCATGTCAGGAATTATCACTAAATTGATGACAAAAGCTTTGGACAGTAGAACAATCTCAAAATATTGTTTCCCTAGCATAATGATGCTGTCTAGCAATAGGATAGAGGATTGTGGGAATATTTTAGCTCTGAAAAAAGTGGTTCTTTACAGTTACAAGGACAGAGAAAAACTCAATATTTCTAGAAAGGAATATAAAGATTCTTACTCTCAGAATCCCTGGAAATACAAATATAACAAGAAATCTTGTTTCATCAAAATTCTTGTGAAGTTACTGCAGCTAAAATCAGGAGTCAAATAGGGGATTCTCTCTATACATAGCAATGGTCAAGAAAGCTTGAATAACCACAGAAAGGAGCCTAGAATCAAAGAAGCCCAGGGTAGGAAGGCATCTTTAAAATCACCTGGTTCTATACTTCATTAAAGGCTTGAATCATCCAGCAACTTCTCTGCCATACAATATTCAGACTCCAGTAATGGAGAACCCATTTCTTTCTAAAGCAGTGAACTCCTTTAATGGAAACCTACATAAATGGTAAAATGTCCTCCCTTGTTGAACTGAAATCTATTTTTTCTTTAACTTCCATTTCCATAACAGAAATTTAACTACACTTTGGGGGATGCTTTTTACTTTCATAAAGCATTTTGACTATGCACAAGAATTTGAACTCCAGGGGTTTTCTGGACCTATAATTTAGATTTTGGGAGGATATGGTGGGGGCAAGGCAGGAAGAAAAGAAGGTCTTAGTGTTGTGCTTCAATCCAGAAATTCCTGAAGTTCATCACCAACAGTTATTGGAGGAGTTGTTAATAAAGTAATTTTTAAATGTTCACTGTTATTGTTTCTTGTGTACTGCTCCCTCAGCAACCTCACAAGGTGCAAGTGGGGTAGGGGATGACTGAGAAGGAAGCATTCAGCCATTCCTGGGTCTCTAGACCCGATGCCATCAAATACTAGTAAATCTCTGTTGTAACCCCTAGCAAAGACTTTACTAGGCAGGTTTTTCCATCACTGAACAAGCTGAATATTTAGAAAGTGTTTTCTTGTGTGTCTCCCTACCCCCACCCCCATAACTTTCACCACTGAATCCTTTACTAGATAAGCAACACATAAGGGTATTTGGAGCCCTTCATGTAATTGAATAGGGGGATAGTTTCTGATGATGGTTTTACATGACAGATGGTTTCTAGATTATCCAGGTTTTTATCAACTGGATGCTGTCTAGCATATCAAAGACATTTTAAAACTTTTAAATAAATATGTGCTAAGCAGGTCCAAAGAGGCTACCACTTCTGGTGATCTGGTCACTGTCCTTTTCCCAATGCAGTATAATTTT
Organism: Homo sapiens; assembly: GCF_000001405.40. Taxonomy (NCBI): domain Eukaryota; kingdom Metazoa; phylum Chordata; class Mammalia; order Primates; family Hominidae; genus Homo; species Homo sapiens. The sequence continues at coordinate 99,306,715 of NC_000012.12, forward strand.
ATGAGCACTTTGTTAAAGCTGCATCTCTTTGCAAACCAGCTTGGTTAAATTTCCTATTTCATTTTCACATATCTAGTGTTCATTTTCACATATCTAGTGATCTGTTCTTATACAGTTGATTTTTTTAACCTCAAGGAAGGATTTTATATTTATCCTTAGTAAATTTCATTCTAATGGTTTTTATCTAGTGTTATAGCCTCTGGAGATCATGCTGCATCTTGATTTTGTCATCAGTCAGTTAAGCCATTACTCCACTCCCAGGTTTGTAGCATCCACAACTTTGGAAAGTACAATGTAATGGTCCTTGTCGTCCCTGGCTCTGCCTTCTTCTAACTTTTGCACTTAAGGTCAATTAAAATGCATGAATTCAAAATAGTTTTTCCTTCCAGGATCAACTCTGCTTATTAGACTGAAGGTGGGGACAGAATGAATTTAGAATCATTTTATTTTAGCACAGGAAAAACTGTATAATTGTGATTGTTGGATTCTTCAGGATTGCATGATATAATATTTCAAATGGCCTCTAATTTCTTTAAGTCTCTTTTCAGGGAGGAAAATCCAGGTTTATATGCAAAAATGTAGCCAGTATGCATATCTGACAAAAACTCGACAAGTAGGAATGAAAGCAGTGTAGACCAAGGAAAATGGCTTGACACTGGAATAGAGAAAGGGTGAATAATCTGGAGTCAAACAAAGGTCCCAAGAGAGTGGGTGAAACTCTCCCTGAATCTTGAGTTCAAACTATATATAAAGGTTTGCAGGAAAAGAAACAGAAAAAGGCAGTGAACAGGCAGTCCTGGAGAGCCTGGACAAAGAAAAAGATTATAATAAGAGAAAGACACTTCCTTGTCATTTTATGGGAAAATGAGAAGGAAGAGGCAAAGAAGTTTGTGTGTGTGCATGAGAGATAGGGGAGGGAGTTGGGTAGTGAGAGTTGTGGTGGAAAAACACCTGCTTTGTGCTTTTTGATTCTTTCTGGAGCTTAGCTCAACTGAATGTCTTTTTTTTTTTTCTTTCAAGAATTGACATGCTGATATAAGAGCTCAAAAACCAGCAATTTCTAATGAGGTTTGCTACATCAAATGTGATCTAGGCCAACCTTTTTTATTTAGCTGTAGTGGAAAAAACAATTCTCCAAAGGCTAATTCTTGCTGGAGGTCACACAGCCAATTTGTTTCAGAGTTGAGACTAGAGAATCCATGTCTCCCAATCACTGGTTCAGTAGTCTTTTCTATGGAGGACTCCCTCGACTAATAGTTCAAACAACACAACATCAAATAAGCCTTGTTCTCTATCAACCTGATCTATCTTCTGCTGATAGCTGATTAAACAAACGATTATAGCAACAAATGAATGATTGTGACTCGTTTAACTATATCTGGACCTGGAGGTAGCTATTTGTTTTTATATTAGGTTTTAAAAAATGGATTTAAATATTATAATTCTATAGAAATTATAGAGAACAAGAATCAGAGCAATCACTACATAGCTCTATGAATTTGCTGCAGAGAATTAAGACATAACATATCAGATACATTTGAAGCACCCTATGTATTACTTTGTAATCTATTTCTCATACTTCTTCTTTAAATGTGTTGATTATCATCTTCCATGAATTAGGTTGGTAAAGAAGTTGACAAGGGGCTTTATATTTTTAAAATAGAGAAAATACTGCAATATAATATTTGATTACACGAATAGGGGCTGGTACACAAATGTTTGTCCTTCAATTTCCATTTATGAATGGATTTGCTTCTAGGCTGTCTTTTCCATGTCATTATCATTTGTCTATTTCTGTATTAATTCCACATCATCTTAATTACTAATAGTTTCATAAGATTTGATAGCTGACAAAGCAAGTTCTCCCATATTTTCAAGCTAATTTTGGCTCCTTGTTTTTCCTCATTAATTTTAGAATATGCTTGTTAAGATCCAAAAAAAACTTTGTTGAAATATGATAATGGTTTTATACTGTAAATTGAGAGATGAATAACATCTCTATGATATTAAGTCAAGCCATTTTGGATATGGTCTATGGTATCATTTGTTTCCATTTTTATATCCTTCAAAACTGTTCTGTATTTTTTTCCACAAATGTCTTTCACACATTTTATTAGATTTGTGCCTAGGTAATTTATAGATTTATTGTTATTATGTAGGAAGAATACTATATTTGTATAATATATATAGTATATATGTATACTATATATAACATATATGTTACCTGTGTACTATATATAACATATATATAACATATACACTGTATGTAATAGATGTGTATACTACAGGTATTTACAAATACTATCAGTTTTCATGTATTAATCCTACAGCTAGGAACCTGGCTAAACTCCCTAATAGTTTGTAGTTACTTTTAGGTTTTCTATGGTTGCAACCTTGTAAATCCCATGTAATTTCAGTTTATGTTTTCCTTTTCAACCATTATGCCTTGTATTTCTTTTTCTTACCTCATTGCATTGGCCAGGTTGCCATTATATTTTAAATAAGAGCAGTTATGTTTTAGATAGATAATTTTTGTCAATTTAAAAATTTATCTTCCATTTATTGTTTGCTAATTTGGTTTATTTTTCAATTTTATGAGTGTGGAATTTTATCAAATATATCTTAAGCTCCTACTGAGTTAATGTTATGTTTTTTTCCCTTTAATCTGTTGTCATTAATAGTTTTCCACATATTGAAACACTCTTATATTTTCATTAATTTTTATTGCCCTATAAAATCTGATATTATCAGCTGAAAGTCATGCTTGCCAAGGATTTTCAAGGTTAAAAATCACTAAGTGTGAGTCTTGTCTTTAGGAATCAAGTGGTGCATCTTAATGGATGTGTATGTGCACATATGTATACACATTAATTTAGATAAACACACATACATCTAGTCACACATAAATACATAAATATACATGCATATAAAATAAAATATAAATAATGGTGCTTATACTTTGTCCATTTTATTTCAGGACAATCACTGAAGTTTTCATTGTTGAATACTAACAACCTTTTGTAATAGCCATATATTACAATTGGTGTAGCAATGAGAACAAAATAAAGTGAAGCTCTACAGAATTTTAAATAAGCCTAAGCAGTACTACAAACAGCATTCATTTTGGCTAAACACTATGATGTCCTCTTAAGAACATTACTTAAAGATTTTAAAGCTCATTTTCTCTTTAGTAATCACGAGTTTGGAGTGAAGTGGCAATGTAGGGAATAAAAAGAACTTACTATAAATGGTATTTGAAAATTCCTTATGTGGATCCACATAGTGTTGCTAGGAAACATGGTTTCTTAGCATTTGGAAAGCTAGAAAACCAAGTTTCTTACCTCTTTTGGCCACAGAAATCTGTATCATGGATCTGATTTAAGAGAGTTTGGAGATTAGTTGGCTTCAAAATATTCGGATAAGCATAAATTATGTTTTATGACCAACCATCCCTTAAGAAATAATAACATGTTTTCAACTCATGCTCAAAAATAGGAAAATATACCCTGTATCATCTTTCATTACTGGGATATCACATAACTGAAATATTAGAATAGTGGTTAAAACTATAGTGATGATTAATTTTACATGTCAGCTTAACTGGGCCACAGGGTGTCCTGATATTTGATCAAACATGATGGATGTTTATGTGAGGGTATTTCTGAATGAGATTAATGTTTGAATTGGTAGATTACTTAAAGCAGCCTGTCCTCCCTAATGTTTGTGCCTCATGTCATCAGCTGAAGTCCTGAATAGAACAAAAGGCTGTCCCTCTTTCTATTAGCGAGGATTCTTCCTACTTGACTACCTTCGGATTGAGACATTAGCTCTTTTCCTGCTTTCAGACTCAAACTGAAACGTTGGCTGTTTCTGGGTCCCAGGCTTGCTTACCTTAGGACAGGAACTACATCACTGGCTCTCACGGTTTTCAGGCCTTCACACTCAGGCTGGGACCAAACCATCAGCTAGCTATCCTGGGTCTCCAGCTTGCCGAGTCACCCTATAGATCTTGGGAGTTGCCTGCTTCCATAATCATGTGAGCCAATTCCTTACAATAAATCTATCTATCTGTCTGTCTACATCCTATTGTTTCTATTTCTTTGGAGAATCCTGACTAATACAAATATAAACTCTATAGCCAGATTGGTTAGGTTTGAATTACAGCTTTGTCACTTACTGCCTATGTGACTCTCAGCAAGTTATTTAAAATCTCTGTGCCTCATTTTCCTCACCTTTAAAACAGGGAAAACAATAGCACCTGCCTAATGGAACTTTGTGAGAATTAAATGAGCTATTACATATAAGACACTTAGTAGGACGCCTGACCATAATAAATGTTGGATAAATGTTACCTATTATTACTGTGTGGTTGCTGTTGTCATTCTTGTATTAGAAAATGTATTTTCAGGTGGAACTATTACAAATTTCACCATTTCTTACACTCTTAAGACTTCTTAAGCAAATAGAATTTACTCTTGCCAATATTAATCTAGAGATGGATAGCCCAGTGAGAAATTTACATTCTCCTGCTAAATGGGTTTCCTATAACATTGCCAGAAACCCAGCAAGTTGAAAAAAATATACAGAAAAAGAAAGAAACAAATGTAGACTCTGTGGGTGAGTGGGTGCATCCATGGAATTAAAGAGAAAGGGGGACAGTTTAAATGGAACGCTGGATGTATGTCTTAAGTGCATTTGTATCAAAAGAAGGGCATATATATGAAGGTATAAAATGTAATTTCTTCAGCTTCATAAAAACCTTCTGGGTATGAAGAGAGATTGATGAAACAAGTATCAATATAGAAGTAAACACCATCAGAATTCAGAACTGGAAGTGAAGAACAATTCTGTATGCAAATTGAAACCACCAGAGGGAACCTAGGTAGGTGGAATATAATTACCCAAACTGGAAAGTGCCCAGGAAGCTGGATTAATAATCTACATTTTAAAGAAGTGCCAGGCATTTTTGAAGTCAAAAATGTTCAGAAACTTTTGATTATGTTTTATAATCACAAAATATTTTGAAAGTACATTCAATGTACTAGTTGGAACCATACCAAAAATAAGAGCTCAGTGAGAAGGAAAGAGGAATGTGGTGCTTTTTATTGTTATATATATTTCATCTTTTTATAGTATTGAGGAGGCTTATATTTAAATAGAATGACAGAAATGAATTATTCCCTCTTGACGGGTGCAAAATCTTAGAGCATTATTTTTCTCTCAAAGCAAACTATAGGATTCAATTCCCCATTACAAGGAAAAATGAAAAAAGTATGATAGCGAGTTTTATTAGAGAGTGTACTCGAAGCATTTGGAGAAATTTTAGAAAGAGATTGTCACAATAGCATCGAAATAAATCTTAGGAATGATTTCTACAGTTTGTAGGCAGAAAGCTATCTAGGTTAAACGAGTCATTTCTTCAGCCATTAGATCTGCCCTTCTGTAATAGCTGCACAGTTTTGCACAAAGGGCTATATGTTAGGGCCAGCAACCAGGAGTCTTGATTTTAAAAGAAATGATGTCGGAAGTGCTGGCTAATTAACAAAAGGCATTGGCAACATTTACGGACTTATAAGCAGTGAATAACATTGTTCTTTTCATTTTATCATATGAAAGTGTTCACATAACTATTATCTGCTATCCTTGAATGGTGAGGTGGGAACAAGAAGACCTATACAGTATCTGCATAGGAAGTGGTGAAATAAATGTTTACTTGTTTTAAACAGTCTCTTTTTAGAAGATCAGTGTGTTCTTTACAGTTACAGTGAGAACTGTAAGTCTGCTTGTCTGACTTTTCGTGAAATGCTCTTCCAAAATGACGACATAGACCAAGTATATATTCCTAAAACCTGTGCCAAGCAGCTTTCCTATCTTGTATTAGCATTGAGTTAACTAGCAACATCATAAAATAGATGGAAGAATAAAGATTAACCTAATGAATCAATGAATAGGTAAATATTTTTACCACAGACAAGTCAAGGGTAAGGGTATTTATGACCCTCTATATAAGACCATCTTTCTCATCCGTGACATGGAACAGGCATAGAATGTTGGCTTTGTGTTAAGAGGGAAATTTATAGCATTAAATGCCCACATTAGAAAGCTAGAAAGATCTCAAATCGATACCCTAACATCACAATTAAAAGAGCTAGAGAAGCAAGAGTAAATTAATCCAAAAACTAGCAGAAGACAAGAAATAACTAAGATGAGAGCAGAACTGAAGGAGATGGAAACATGAAAAACCCTCCAAAAAATCAATGAATCCAGGAGATGGTTTTTTGAAAAAATTAACAAAATAGATAGACTGCTAACTAGACTAATAAGGAAGAAAAAAGAGAAGAATCAAATAGACACAATAAAAAATGATAAAGGGGATATCACCACTGACCCCACAGAAATACAAGCTACTATCAGAGAATGTTATAAACAACTATATGCAAATAAACTAGAAAATCTAGAAGAAATGAATAGATTCCTGGACACATACATCCTCCCAGAAACCAGGATGATATCGTATCCCTGAATAGACCAATAACAGTTTGAAATTGAGGCAGTAATAGCCTATCAACTAAAAAATAAAAGTCCAGGATCAGACAGATTCACAGCTGAATTCTACCAGAAGTACAAAGAGGAGCTGGTACCAAACCTTCTGAAACTATTCCAAACAACTGAAAAGGAGGGAATCTTCCCTAACTCATTTTACGAAGCCAGCATCATCCTGATACCAAAACCGGGCAGAGACACAACAACAACAAAAAACTTCAGGCCAACATCCCTGATGAAGATCAATGCAAAAATCCTCAATAAAATACTGGCAAACCGAATCCAGCAGCACATCAAAAAGCTTAGCCACCACGATCAAATCAGCTTCCTTCCTGGGTTGCAAGGTTGGTTCAACATACGCAAATCAATAAATGTAATCCATCACATAAACAGAACCAATGACAAAAACCACATGATTATCTCAGTAGGTGCAGAAAAGGCCTTTGATAAAATTCAACATCCCTTCATGTTCAAAACTCTCAATAAACTAGGTATTGATGGAACACATCTCAAAATAATAAGAGCTATTTATGACAAACCCACAGCCAATATCATATTGAATGGGCAAAAGCTGGAAGCATTCCCTTCGAAAACTGGTACAAGACAAGGATGCCCTTTCTCACCACTCCTATTCAACATAGTATTGGAAGTTCTGGCTAGGGCAATCAGGCAAGAGAAAGAAACAAAGGGCCTTCAAATAGGAAGAGAGGAAGTCAAATTGTCTCTGTTTGCAGATGACATGACTATATACTTATAAAATCCTATCATCTCACCCAAAAACTCCTTAAGCTGATAAGCAACTTCAGCAAAGTCTCAGGATACAAAATCAACGTGCAAAAATCACAAGCATTCCTATACACCAACAATAGACAAGCAGAGAGCCAAATAATGAATGAACTCCCATTCACAATTGCTACAAAGAAAACAAAACACCTAGGAATACAGCTAACAAGGGATGTGAAGGACCTCTTCAAGGAGAACTACACACCACTGCTCAAGGAAATAAGAGAGGACACAAACAAAAGGAAGAACATTCCATCCTCATGGATAGGAAAAATCAATATTGTGAAAATGGCCATACTGCCCAAACTAATTTATAGATTCAATGCCATTCCCATCAAACTAACATCGACATTCTTCACAGAATTAGAAAAAACTACTTTAAATTTCATATGGAATCAAAGAAGACCCCATATATCCAAGAAAATCCTAAGCAAAAAGAACAAAGCTGGAGTCATCATGCTACCTGACTTTGAACTATACTACAAGGCTACAGTAACCAAAAGAGCATGGTACTGGTACCAAAACAGACACATAGACCAATGGAACAGAACAGATACCTCAGTAATAACACCACACATCTACAACCATCTGATCTTTGACAAGCCTGACAAAAAAAAGCAATAGGGAAATGATTTCCTATTCAATAAATGGTGGTGGGAAAACTGGCTAGCCATATGCAGAAAACTGAAATCGGAACCCTTCCTTATACCTTTTATAAAAATTAACTCAAGATGGATTAAAGACTTAAACGTAAACCCCAAAACCCTAAAAACCCTAGAAGAAAACCTAGGCAATACCATTCAGGACATAGGCATGGGCAAAGATTTCATGACAAAAACACCAAAAGCAATTGCGACAAAAGCAAAAACTGACAAATACGATCTAATTAAAGAGCTTCTGCACAGCAAAAGAAACTACCATTGGCTGGGCGTGGTGGCTCACACCTGTAATCCCAGCACTTTAGGAGGCTGAGGCGGGTGGATCATGAGGTCAAGAGATCAAGACCATCCTGGCCAACATGGTGAAACCCCCTCTCTACTAAAAACACAAAAATTAGCTGGGCGTGGTGGTGCATGCCTGTAGTCCCAGCTACTCAGGAGGCTGAAACAGAATTGCTTGAACCTGGGAGGCAGAGGTTGCAGTGAGCCGAGATTGTGCCACTGCACTCCAGCCTAGTGACAGTGTGAGACTTCATCTCAAAAAAAAAAAAAACAAAAAACCTATCAGAGCAAACAGGCAACTTACAAAACGGAAAAAATTTTTTACAATCTACCTATCTAACAAAGGTCTAATATGCAAAAGTTAAAGGAACTTAAACAAATCTACAAGAAAAAAACAACCCCATCAAAAAGTGGGAAAACGATTATGAACAGACAGTGCTCAAAAGAAGACATTTATGCAGCCAACAAACATATGAAGAAAAGCTCAACATCACTGATCATTAGAGAAATGCAAATCAAAACCACAATGAGATACCATCTCACACCAATCAGAATGGTAATTATTATTTTTTTCTATAAGTTTTATTAATATTTGAATATAATTCACATAACATAAAATTCATCCTTTTAAAGTATGCCATTTGGTGATTTTTTGTATATTCAGAAAGTCATGCAAGCACAACCACTATCTAATTTTTTTTTATTATACTTTAAGTTCTAGGGTACATGTGCACAACGTGCAGGTTTGTTACATAGGTATACATGTGCCATGTTGGTGTGCTGCACTCATTAACTCATCATTTACATTAGGTATATCTCCTAATGCTATCCCTCCCCTCTCCCCCCACCCCATGACAGGCCCCGGTGTGTGATGTTCCTCACTCTGTGTCCAAGTGTTCTCATTGTTCAACTCCCACCTATGAATGAGAACATGTGGTGTTTGGTTTTCTGTCCTTGCAATACTTTGCTCAGAATGATAGTTTCCAGCTTCAACCATGTCCCTACAAAGGACATGAACTCATCATTTTTTATGGCTGCACAGTATTCCATGGTGTATATGTGCCACATTTTCTTTATTCAGTCTATCATTGATGGACATTGGGGTTGGTTCCAAGTCTTTACTATTATGAATAGTGCCACAATAAACATACGTGTGCATGTGTCTTTATAGCAGCATGATTTATAATCATTTCGGTATATACCCAGTAATGGGATTGCTGGGTCAAATGGTATTTCTAGTTCTAGATCCTTGAGGAATTGCCACACTGTTTTCCACAATGGGTGAACTAGTTTACAGTCCCACCAACAGTGTGAAAGTGTTCCTGTTTCTCCACATCCTCTCCAGCACCTGTTGTTTCCTGACTTTTTAATGATCGCCATTTTAACTGGTGTGAGATGGTATCTAGTTGTGGTTTTGATTTGCATTTCTCTGATACCCAGTGATGATAAGCATTTTTTCATGTGTCTGTTGGGGGCATAAATGCTTTCTTTTGAGAAGTGTCTGTTCATATCCTTTGACCACTTTTTGATGGGGTTGTTTGATTTTTTCTTGTAAATTTTTAAGTTCTTTGTAGATTCTGGATATTAGCCCTTTGTCAGATGAGTAGGTTGTAAAAATGTTCTCCCTTTTTGTAGGTTTCCTGTTCACTCTGATGGTAGTTTCTTTTGCTGTGCAGAAGCTCTTTAGTTTAATTAGATCCCATTTGTCAATTTTGGCTTTTGTTGCCATTGCTTTTGGTGTTTTAGTCATGAAGTCCTTGCCCATGCCTATGGCCTGAATGGTATTGCCTAGGTTTTCTTTAAGGGTTTTTATGGTTTTAGGTCTAACATTTAAGTCTTTAATCTATCTTGAATTAATTTTTGTATAAGGTGTAAGGAAGGAATCCAGTTTCAGCTTTCTACATGTGGCTAGCCAGTTTTCCCAGCACCATTTATTAAATAGGGAATCCTTTCCCCATTTCTTGTTTTTGTCAGGTTTGTGAAAGATCAGATGGTTGTAGATGTGTGGTGTTATTTCTGAGGACTCTGCTCTGTTCCATTGGTCTGTGTGTGTTTTGGTACCAGTACCATGCTGTTTTGGTTACTGTAGCCTTGTAGTATAATTTGAAGTCAGGTAGCGTGATGCCTCCAGGTTTGTTCTTTTTGCTTAGGATTGTCTTGGCAATGTGGGCTCTTTTTTGGTTCCATATGAACTTTAAAGTAGTTTTTTCCAATTCTGTGAAGAAAGTCATTGGTAGCTTGATGGGAATGGCATTGAATCTATAAATTATCCTGGGCAGTATGGCCATTTTCACGATATTGATTCTTCCTATCTGTGAGCATGGAATGTTCTTCCATTTGTATCCTCTTTTATTTCATTGAGCAGTGGTTTGTAGTTCTCCTTGAAGAGGTCCTTCATGTTCCTTGTAAGTTGGATTCCTAGGTATTTTATTCTCTTTGAAGCAATTGTGAATGGGAGTTCACTCATGATTTGGCTCTCTGTTTGTCTGTGATTGGTGTATAGGAATGCTGTGATTTTTGCACATTGATTTTGTATCTTGGGAGTTTGCTGAAGTTGCTTATCAGCTTAAGGAGATTTTGGGCTGAGACAATGGGGTTTTCTAAATATACAATCATGGCATCTGCAAACAGGGGCAATATGACTTCCTCTTTTCCTAATTGAATACCCTTTATTTCTTTCTCCTGCCTGATTTGCCCTGGCCAGAACTTCCAACACTATGTTGAATAGGAGTGGTGAGAGAGGGCATCTCTGTCTTGTGCCAGTTTTCAAAGGGAATGCTTCCAATTTTTGTCCATTCAGTATGATATTGGCTGTGGGTTTGTCATAAATAGCTCTTATTATTTTGAGATATGTTCCATCAATACCTAGTTTATTGAGAGTTTTTAGCATGAAGCGTTGTTGAATTTTGTCAAAGGCCTTTTCTGCATCTATTGAGATAATCATGTGGTTTTTGTCTTTGGTTCTGTTTATATGACGGATTAAGTTTATTGATTTGCATATGTTGAACCAGCCTTGCATCCTAGGGATGAAGCCCACTTGATCGTGGTGGATAAGATTTTTGATGTGCTGCTGGATTTGGTTTGCCAGTATTTTATTGAGGATTTTTACATCATTGTTCATCAGGAATATTGGTCTAAAATTCTCTTTTATTGTTGTGTCTCTGCCAGGCTTTGGTATCAGGATGATGCTGTCCTCATAAAATGAGTTAGGGAGGATTCCCTCTTTTTCTATTGAATGGAATAGTTTCAGAAGGAATGGTACCAGCTCCTCTTTGTATCTCTGGTAGAATTCAGCTGTGGATCTGTCTAGTCCTGGACTTTTTTTGGTTGGTAGGCTATTAATTATTGCCTCAACTTCAAAGCCTGTAATTGGTCTATTCAGGGATTCAACTTCTTCCTGGTTTAGTCTTGGGAGGGTGTATGTGTTCAGGAATTTATTCATTTCTTCTAGATTTTCTAGTTTATTTGTGTAGAGGTGTTTATAGTGTTCTTTGAGGGTAGTTTGTATGTATTTCTGTGGGACCAGTGGTGATATCCCCTTTATCATTTTTTTATTGTGTCTATTTGATTCTTCTCTCTTTTCTCCATTATTAGTCTTGCTAGTGGTCTATTAATTTTGTTGATCTTTTCAAAAAACCAGCTCCTGGATTCATTGATTTTTTGAAGGTTTTTTTATGTCTCTATCTCCTTCAGTTCTTCTCTGATCTTAGTTATTTCTTGCCTTCTGCTAGCTTTTTAATGTGTTTGTTCTTGCTTCTCTAGTTCTTTTAATTGTGATGTTAGCGTGTCAATTTTAGATCTTTCCTGCTTTCTCCGGTGGGCATTTAGTGCTATAAATTTCCCTCTACACATTGCTTTAAATGTGTCCCAGAGATTCTGGTGTGTTGTGTCTTTGTTTTCATTGGTTTCAAAGAACATCTTTATTTCTGCCTTCATTTCGTTATGTACCCAGTAGTCATTCAGGAGCAGGTTGTTCAGTTTCCATGTAGTTGAGCGGTTTTGAGTGAGTTTCTTAATCTTGAGTTCTAGTTTGATTGCACTGTGGTCTGAGAGATGGTTTGTTATAAGTTCTCTGTTCTTTTACACTTGCTGAGGAGTGCTTTACTTCCAACTATGTGGTCAATTTTGGAATAAGTGTGATGTGGTGCTAAGAAGAATGTATATTCTCTTGATTTGGGGTGGAGAGTTCTGTAGATGTCTGTTAGGTCCACTTGGTGCAGAGCTGAGTTCAATTCCTGGATATCCTTGTTAACTTTCTGTCTTGTTGATCTGTCTAATGTTGACAGTGGGGGGTTGTCTCCCATTATTATTGTGTAGGAGTCTAAGTCTCTTTGTAGGTCTCTAAGGGCTTGCTTTATGAATCTGGGTACTCCTGTATTGGGTGCATATATATTTAGGATAGTTAGCTCTTCTTGTTGAATTGATCCCTTTACCATTATGAAATGGCTTTCTTTGTCTCTTTTGATCTTTGTTGGTTTAAAGTCTGTTTTATCAGAGACTAGGACTGCAACCCCTGCTTTTTTGTTTGTTTGTTTTCCATTTGCTTGGTAGATCTTCCTCCATCCCTTTATTTTGAGCCTATGTGTGTCTCTGCACGTGAGATGGGTTTCCTGAATACAGCACACTGATGGTTCTTGAGTCTTTATCCAATTTGCCAGTCTGTGTCTTTTAATTGGAGCATTTAGCCCATTTACATTTAAAGTTAATATTGTTATGTGTGAATTTGACCATGTCACTATGATGTTAGCTGGTTATTTTGCTAGTTGTTAGTTTGTTTGTTAGTTGATGCACTTTCTTCCTAGCATCGATGGTCTTTACAATTTGGCACATTTTTGCAGTGGCTGGTACCGGTTGTTCCTTTCCATGTTTAGTGCTTCCTTCAGGAGCTCCTGTAAAGCAGGCCTAGTGGTGACAAAGTCTCTCAGCATTTGTTTGTCTGTAAAGGATTTTATTTATCCTTCACTTATGAAGGTTAGTTTGGCTGGATATGAAATTCTGGGTTGAAAGTTCTTTTCTTTAAGAATGTTGAATATTGGCCCCCACTCTCTTCTGGCTTGTAGAGCTTCTGCTGAGAGATCCACTCTTAGTCTGATCGGCTTCCCTTTGTGGGTAACCTGCCCTTTCTCTCTGGCTGCCCTTAATATTTTTTCCTTCATTTCAATTTTGGTGAATCTGACAATTATGTGTCTTGAAGTTGCTCTTCTTGAGGAATATCTTTGTGGCATTCTCTGTATCTCCTGAATTTGAATGTTGGCCTGCCTTGCTAGGTTGGGGAAGTTCTCCTGGATAATATCTCGCAGAGTGTTTTCCAACTTGGTTCTGTTCTCCCCGTCACTTTCTGGTACAACAATCAGATGTAGATTTGGTCTTTTCACATAGTCCCATACTTTTTGGAGGCTTTGTTCATTTCTTTTTAATCTTTTTCCTCTAAACTTCTCTTCTCGCTTCATTTCATTCATTTGATCTTCAATCACTGATACCCTTTCTTCCACTTGATCGAATCGGCTACTGAAGCTTGTGCATGCATCATGTAGTTCTCGTGGCATGGTTTTCAGCTCCATCCGGTCATTTAAGGTCTTCTCTACACTGTTTATCCTAGTTAGCCATTCGTCTAATCTTTTTTCAAGGTTTTTAGCTTCTTTGCAAAGGGTGTGAACATCTTCCTTTAGCACAGAGAGGTTTGTTATTACTGATCATCTGAAGCCTTCTTCTCTCAACTCATCAAAGTCATTTTCCGTTCAGCTTTGTTCTGTTGCTGGCAAGGAGCTGTGTTCCTTTGGAGGAGAAGAGGTGCTCTGATTTTTAGAATTTTCAACTTTTGTGCTCTGGTTTCTCCCCATCTTTGTGGTTTTATCTACCTTTGGTCTTTGATGATAGTGATGTGCAGATGGGGTTTTGGTGTGGATGTCCTTTCTGTTTGTTAGTTTTCCTTCTAACAGTCATGACCCTGGAAATGCTGCAGGTCTGTTGGAGTTTGCTGGAGGTCCACTCCAGACCCTGTTTGCCTGAGTATCCCCAGCGGAGGCTGCAGAACAGCAAATATTGCAGAACGGCACATGTTGCTGCCTGATACTTCCTCTGGAAGCTTCATCTCAGAGGGACACCCGGTTGTATGAGGTGTCAGTTGGCCCCTACTGGGAGGTGTCTCCCAGTTAGGCTACTCAGGGGTCAGGGACCCACTTGAGGAGGCAGTCTGTCCTTTCTCCGATTTCAAACTCTGTGCTGGGAGAACCACTACTCTCTTCAAAGCTGTCAGACAGGGAGGTTTAACTCTGCAGAAGTTTCTGCTGCCTTTTGTTCAGCTATGCCCTGCCCCCAGAGGTGGAGTCCACAGAGGCAGGCAGGCCACCTTGAGCTGCAGTGGGCTCCACCCAGTTCAAGCTTCCCAGCCACTTTGTTTACCTACTCAAGCCTCGGCAATGGCGGACGCCCCTCCCCCAGCCTCGCTGCCGCCTTGCAGTTCAATCTCAGACTGCTGTGCTAGCAGTGAGTGAGGCTCCATGGGCATGGGACCCTCCGAGCCAAGTGCCGGATATAATCTACTGGTGTGCTGTTTGCTAAGACCGTTGGAAATGCGCAGTATTAGGGTGGGAGTGTCCTGATTTTCCAGGTACCATCTGTCATGGCTTCCCTTGGCTAGGAAAGGGAATTCCCCAACCCCTTGCACTTCCTGGGTAAGGCGATGCCCCGCCCTGCTCTGTGGGCTGCACCCACTGTCCGACAAACCCCACTGAGATGAACCCAGTGCCTCAGATGGAAATGCAGAAATCACCTGTCTTCTGCATCACTCACACTGGGAGCTGTAGACTGGAGCTCTTCCTATTCGGCCATCTTGGGACCATCCAGAATGGTAATTATTAAAAAGTCAAGAAAGAATAGATGCTGGTGAGGCTGTGGAGAAATAGGAATGCTTTTACACTGTTGGTGGGAATGTAAATGAGTTCAACCATTGTGGAAGACAGTATGGTGATTCCTCAAAGATCTAGAAGCAGAAATACCATCTGTCCCAGCAATCCCATTACTGGGCATATACCCAAAGGAAAATAAATCATTCTACTATAAAGACAAATGCACACGTATGTTTATTGCAGCACTATTTACAATAGCTAAGTCATGGAACCAACCCAAATGCCCATCAATGTTAGACTGGATAAGAAAATGTGGTACATATATACCATGGAATACTATGCAGCCATAAAAAAATGAGACTATGTCCTTAGCAGGGACATGGATGAAGCTGGAAGCCATCATCCTCAGTAAACTAACACAGGAACAGAAAACCAAACACTGTATGTTCTCACTCATAAGGGGTAGTTGTATAATGAGAACACATGGACACAGGGGGGTGAACAACACACACCAATGCCTGTTGTGGGGTGGGGAATGAGGGGAGTGAACTTAGAAGATGGGTCAATAGGTGCAGCAAACCACCATGACACACGTATACTCATGTAACAAACCTGCACACTCTGTATATGTATCCTGGAACTTAAAGTAAAAAAAAAAAAAAAAGAAAAAGAAAAAAATCTCAGTACAAAAGATATGTCTCATACAGGAACAAAAACAAAACAAAACAAAAAACAATATTGGCTTTGTATCTCCACCTGCCTGCATCTACTTTTACCACTGAATACCTCGCTATTCCATGCTATGAGAACCCTATGATTCAGTTATATCAAATGATTTGCCATGCTCTGAAGTCACCCAACTTTCACTTTTCATATTTGCCTTTCTTCAGTGATATGGTTTGGCTGTGTCCCCATCCAAATCTCATCTTGAATTGTAGCTCCCAGAAGTCCTACATGTGGGAGAGACCCAGTGGAAGATAACTGAATCATGGAGGAAGTTTTCCCCGTACCGTTCTCACGGTAGTGAGTAAGTCTCACAAGATATGATGGTTTTATAAGGGGTTTCCCTTTTTGCTTGGTTCTTATTCTCTCTTGCCTGCCACCATGTAACATGTGTCTTTCACCTCCTGCCATGATTGTGAGGCCCCCTGGTCATGTGGAACTGTGAGTCCACTAAACCCCTTTTTCTTTATAAATTACCCAGTCTCGGGTATGTCTTTATCAGTAGTGTGAGAATGAACTAATACACTCAGCTTGAGTTGCTCTTCCTTTATATTATCCTCCAAAAAGTTTCTACTTATCCTGTAAGGTTCAACTGAAGGGTCAGCATACTGATATATCCTCTTTTAACTTCTGGACAGAGTTGTGTATCTGTTCTATTATGCTTCATTTGAGCCCTACCTATTTCTATCACAGCAAGTGTCACTGAACTGTGAATATCCACTTCCATTACAACGGAGTTCCTTGAGTGAAAAATACATAATACCTATGAGTAATTAATTTCTGCATGGCATTCATGCAGCCATATTCATTTTATGTGCATCATTTTACTATCAAGAGTTAAAATTAATGGTCAGTGATTTTCATTTCTTGCAATTTTACTTCCTTAGCCAGCATAGGTTCCTGGCATCATTTCTTCTCAACCCCAACAGAGGCTCAATTCCAGTACTGACTGGAATGCTTTTCATGCATGAAGAATATTGAAAAGAGCTCTTTCTTACTTTCATGTCTTATTTAAACATGTTACTTGCTTTATTTTTTAACCTTTAATGACTATCACTTGCCTTATTTGTCACATTTGGACTAAATAATCATTTCATTTTGTCAGCCAGTGTTAATTCTTATGGCTTGTTATTGAAACTAAGCAAATTCAATGTATAGCATGAGTAAGATGGGACAGAGAAAAAGGGAACTCTGAAGAAAGTGAGCTATTGACTGTGTCCCTACAAAAGTAGAGATCAATATGTAGGTAAGAGGTAGGAAGGAAGGCTGAGAAGAACAGACTAGAAAGGCAGTGAAGTGAGACTCAAGCGATTTAAATTCTCATCTTGCTTCACTTTCAACTTCTTGTATAATATTTTTTTTCCTCTTTGGGCCTCATTTATCTCATTTGTTTTTTGAGGGCGATGTACTTAAGTCTTTTGTATAGCACCAGTATGATTTTGCAATATCCACACATAATTGTATTAGTATTTGCTTAAATAAAAATTAAACTAGTGCTCTTAACTTTATGCCATTCCCACAATAATCATAAGCAATGATATCTATATAATAAACCAAGTTAATGAGCTATTTATTTTTGTGTGTACATTAATTACATGGACATTAATTTTTTAAGTCCATCCTATACACCTAAAATAACAACAGCTGACATTTATCTAAATTTTGCTGGGTGCCATGTGCTGTTCTAAGCTATTTATTTGTATTTACTCATATAATCTTCACAACATCCATTTTAATACTAATTTTACAGGTGGGAAATTGTGGCACAGAGAAGTTAAGGCTTTATAAAAAGCCATGTAGCTTGTAAGTGGCAGAGTCAGGACTCAAACTCAGGCAGTCTGTAGTCACACTTGGGAACAATGAACTAGAAGACATCTAGGGTCCTTTCCAGCATCACGACCCTCTGATTTTGCTTTTCTCTGGAGCACACTCTTCTCAGTTCCTAAGAGAGTATTTTATTTCTACTTAGCTTAATAAGGTCCTTTCAAATAGAGTCTATATTAGGCTGTATTTGATTTTTAGCCTTTTCACTGTCTTTTATCTCCTCACAATTACATAAAATTGTTCACTTAGCCAGTTATGAACAATGCAGAAGTCAAATTTCATTGCAGTCCCAGAAATCACTTTATCTAAAAGTACTATAAAAAACATTCATTCTTGACTATGAAGAGGCTGTACAAAGTTACCTCTTTTCAAGAGAGTCAGTCTGCCCTTGAAACTTAGTAATTTACTAACCATCATTTTTTTTTCTAAAAAGAAATATCAGGCACAGAAATTTAGAGTTGAAAGGAGCTTAGCTGTTATGTGGTCCTAACACCAAACATTGAAATATCCCTGCCTAGACTCCCTGAATGTTGGTCATTCACCTTTTGGAGAAGAATCTTCAGAAAGTGAAATTACTATGTCCATTATTAGGTGTTCCATTCATTGGTAAATACACCTCATTCCCTTTCTGAAATCAGATATGCCGTATATGTACAGTATGTACCACATAATGATATTTCAGTCAATGATGGACTGTATACACGATGGTGGTCCCATAAGACTATAATGAAGCATATAGGGTCTTCAAAAAATTCATAGAAAATGCATATTATGAAAAAGTATGCATGAATTTCCAATTTTTTACACAAAATAAACTCATACTGAACAGGATCTAGTTGAGTCTCTAAGAAAGATGAGACATCAGTTTGAAAAGAGCCCCTATCACAGCAACATGAATCCTGCTAAAATTGAGGCAAGAACAAACATTGAATTTACACTGAAGCTTGGGTGTGAGAATGGTGAAATCATTGATGCTTTATGAAGAGTTTATGGGGCTAATGCCCCAAAGAAATTGGCAGTTTACAAATGGATAGCTCATTTTAAAAAGGAGTGAGAAGATATTGAAGATGGCACCTGCAGTGGCAGACCACCCACATCAGTTTGCAAGGAAGAAAATTCATTTTTTCCATGCTCTAACTGAAGAGGGTCAACGATTAACAGCAGAAACAACAGCGAATGCCATAGACATCTAAATTTGTTCAGGTTACACAATTCTGACTGAAAAATTAAAGCTGAACAAACTATACACTTGATGGTTGCTAAAATTGTTATGCCCAGATCAGCTGCAGACAAACGGAAATTTTCAATAAGTCGGATCAAGATTCTGAAGCATTTCTTCAAAGAATTGTAATAGGAGATGGAGCATGGTTTTATCAGTACGATCCTAAAGACAAAGCATAATCAATGCAATGGCTACTAAGAGGTGGCAGTGGTCCAGTCAAAGCAAAAGTGGACCAGTGTATTAGTCTGTTTTCATACTACTATAAAGAACTGCCAAAGACTGGGTAATTTATAAAGGAAAGAGGTTTAACTGACTCACAATTCAGCATGGCTCGGAGGCCTCAGGAAATTTAAAATCACAGCAGAAGGTGAAGAGAAAGCAAAGCACCTTCTTCACAAGGCAGCATGAAGGAGAAGTGCTGAGTGAAGTGTGAAAAGAGTCCATTATTAAACCATCAAATCTCATGAGAACTCATTCACTATCACGAGAACAGCATGAGGGAAATTGCTCCCACGATTCAATTACCTCCACCTGGTCTCTTCCAAGACACATGGGGATTATGGGGATTATAATTCAAGATGAGACTGGGGTGGGGACACAAAACCTAACCATATCAACCAGTCAAGAGCAAATGTCATGGCAACAGGTTTTTGGGATACTCAAGGCATTTTCCTTGTTGACTTTCTGGAGGGTCAAAAAATGACATTATCTGCTTATTATGAGAGTGTTTTGAGAAAGGTAGCCAAAGCATTAGCAGAAAAATGCCCAGAAGCTTCACCAGAGAGTACTCCTCCACCACAACAATGCTTCAGCTCACTCCTCTCACCAAACAAGGGCAATTTTGTGAGAGTTTCAATCAGAAATCATTAGGCATCCGCCTTACCATTCTAATTTCACTCCTTCTTCTCTCTGTTTTTGAATCTTAAAAATTCTTTAAGGACACCTGTTTTTCTTCAGTTAATAATGTAAAAGAGACTACATTAACATTGTTAAATTCCCAGTACAGGACTTGAGGGATGAACTAAATGTCTGATATTGTTACGTAAAAAGTGCCTTGAACTTAATGGAGCTTATGTTGAGAAAGTTTATATATTTCTTACTTTTATATTTTAATTTTTTTTTTACAAACTTTTTGAAGTCCCCTTGTTTAAAGAAACCTGATATATGGCACTTGATATTAGCATTGCAGTTCAAGTAGGGAAAATAGTTGATATGCAGTAATTGTGCTGAGAGAGTTTTCCACATAAGGTGGATGCCTAATGACAATTTTCCACATGAAAACTATATTTTTATGTATATTTGATGCAGATGAAACATATATAAAATATAAAGTTCACAAATACTATATGAACATCATAGAGTATATGTATACAAACCTAGATTTTATATATAATATATAATACATAATTTATATATTATATTATAATAAATATTATATATATTTATATACAATTATATATAATACAATATATAATATATTAATGTTATATTATAATATATCAATATATATTAATATAACTAATATAATTAATATATTAATATACAATAATATATAATATATAATATATAATTATATTATATATTTATTATAATTATATAATATATTATCTATTATATAATATAATTTATAATTATAATAATTATAATTTATTATAATTATATAAATAATTATAATTTATTATAATTATAACATATAAAATATGTAATTATATATTATAATTACATATTATATATAATTATATATTATAATTACATATTATATATAATTACATATTATATATAATTATATATTATAATTACATATTATATATAATTATATATTATATTGTCTATAAATTATATATTATATATTATATTATAATTATATATGTAAAATATATATATTATATATTATATATAAAATCTAGGTTTGTATACATATACTCTATGATGTTCATACAATGTTGAAATTGCTTGCTGATGTATTTCTCAGGACATATCCCCATTATTAAGCAACGCATGACTCTGTGTGTTAGGGAGGTATATGTATCCCCCCCATATATATATGCCACTCATTGGTCTTACCTTGTTATTTTCAAGCAAAATAAAAGTCGGTTTTCTTTTTCCAAAAGTTGTATATATTTATATAATAGATAATATTCATTTTAGTAAAATTAATATCTTTTCATGGAAGATAATTTAGAAAAGTATTAAAATGAATACAAATCATCCATAATCCCAGGGATCAGCACTGTTGCTAATATTTTTATATTTTCTTCTCTTAATGTGAACATATATGCATGTACTAGTATTCTGAATATATCTATTTTTAAACTAACGGGATTATTTATATGATCCTATTTTCTGTGTGTGGTGAGGCTCCTCCTGATACTCTACTACATACAGATGAATAAATTTTTAATAATTTTTGGGGAAAATGAAGAACATCATAAAGGTAAGGGCATCTACTTCCAGACAAAATGGGATAACTGACCAAATGTGCACTCCTTCCTAAAATAAAAAGTGAAAATATATAAAATGATAATTTGCAAGACACTGAAAAGCAGGAAATGAAGGGCCAAAATCTCTGAGAAACAGCAAACAAGTTGAGTCCTATATTTGCCCCAGTTTATTGCCTTGAGAGAGTCTCTAGGCTGTAGTGCAGGAGAAGGGTAACCAGGAGATGAACTTGACAGTCTGAGAAGACAGAGGTAAACAGAGTTGTCCAGATAGTATCTAACGGGGTGAGCAAAACGTCGAAGATCCATAGAGGAACTCCCTCGAATATTCAGTGCATGCATGTGAGGAAATAACCCAACACTGGGGGAAAAAACACCTAAAAGAATTAGTGGCAAGACTGCCCAGTGCCCACACAGGACCAGGAACAGTGCTTGCTCCCATTAGTCAGATTAGAATTAGGTGGAGTACACAGAAGGTTCTTGCCTCAACAGCAGGAAATAATTGGCCTTAGATTTAGTATTGCTGTGTTCTGGCCTAACATAGTTAAAAAGACCCCAAAAGATCAAAATGTTTCCAAGTAAGTCAATTTCATCCCAAAAAAGCCCTCAAAAATATTTATAGAAATATAAAAATATATCCAACATCAAGCAAGGTAAAATTTATCATGTCTGGTATTTGATCAAAAATTACAAGCATGAAAACAAGTAGGAAATATGACCCAATTAAGAAATATAATAATCAAATTTGAACCAGAATTGACAGATGTTAGAATTGGCATATGAGAACATTAAAATATTGAAACTTACATCAAAACTGTGTTCCATATTTTAAAAGATAAGTAGAGATCTGAAAGATATATAAAAAGACTGAAAAAACTTCTGGAGATAAAAATTCAGTCTAAGATGAGAAACATACTGGCTAGAATAACAAGTAAATTCAGCAATGCAAAAGAAAACATACTAATGAAAACTTGAAAACATGGCAACTGAAAATATCAAAAATAAAACTCAGAAAAAATAGAATCCAAAGAAAAATGAACAGAGCCTCAGTGAACTATGGAGCAACTTCAAGTGGCCTAATATATGTGTAATTGGAGTAACTGAAAAAAGGTTTGGGGTATGAGGACAGAAAAAAATATTTGAAGAGATAATAGCTGACATTTTTCCAAATTTGATGGAAACTATTCTTATTTTTCATTTAACATTATGTTGTCAGAATTCTTCTTTCTTTCTGTGTATCATGTGAAAACACAGTTCCTGAAGACTACAAAATTCCCTCCCATGGATGTTTTATGATTTATTTAGCCATTTGTGCCTGTACATTTTGATTATGATTTTTCATAATTATAAATGATGTTGTAATGAATCTTTATACCCATAAATGTTGATCTGCATCTGATCCTTGAGATATATTCCTTGAAATGAGTTTACAGGGTAAGGTTCTACATATATTTTTAGAGTCTTGATATATAATTTTAAGCCATTTTCCAGAAAGATCATATAGTACTTGTACATTTGTACAGTATATGTAGTATGCATTGTATATTTTACCACATTCTGGTCAACAAATGTCTTTATTAAAGAATAAAAAGATATTACTGAAAAAGACAAACTTAGCTACTTTTGTAGGTAAAAATTATAAGCCTTAAAAATCTGCATTTCTTATATTATTAATAGCTAAAATATTGTTCATGTTCATTGCAAATGCCACTTCATGTCCTTAGGCCATTTTTCTATTAGTTTTAAGTGTTTTTCTTACATCAATTTCTACCAGCTGTTTATATGTTAAGGATATTAATATTTTATATTTGTGATGAACGTTTTTCAAAGATTAGACAAAATCTACATGTTTACATCATATGATGTATTAATAATTTCCAGAGCTCCCACCCTCTTTAAAGTGCATTCACATTTATCATTGTTCTTATGTCCTAAACTTGCATCTATTTCTCCCTTAAACTGATATTTTCTATTTTGGTTACAGAGCCCAAACCTAAGAATTAAGTGTACACTAATTTCATGTATATCAGAATCTGTTCTGCTTAATTCTTCAGTTCACCTTATCTAAGTAATTTCTCTTTCACATCATAAGAGAATTAAAAGTAATTAAGATCCAATCCAAGGGCTATGGACTAGGGTAAAGCCTGTGGTACAACTTAATGGAAGAAATATTTTCTTCCTTAGGAGTTCTATCAGTTATACTTGAGCCCATTGTTCTTGAAAGAGTTAATGTCTTATTTCTAAAATATGTCTATTATAGATTCAAGTAAATCCAGCTACACTTACTTAATGCACATATCCAGTACATAAGAGAAATGGAAGATTCCTAGCCTGAGTGCCAGGAAATGCAGTTTAGATATGGCCCTGCCATCTTTCCAGAACTTGATTTCCTTCCCAGCTACAAAATGAGATCCAAACCAGATGATCCTCAGGAACCAATCCAGCTCTGAAATTCGACAACTTTGTGATTGTTCTATAAAACAAATATTACATTTCCCTCCAAAGGATCTTCTGGGATTATTTGCATCTGTTTTAGAAAGATTGGAGGTGGGAAGGGGTCAATTTTTAATGGCTGCAGGTGTTTTACAAATGTCAAAGATACATTGCTTGCACTGATAGCTAGGTTTAAAATCTTCAGAAAATAAATGCATAATTAGATGTTTCCAGCATTTATATAGTGAATCTGTTCGGTCTTTCATGCTTCAAGGAGCTAATAGAACCTAATGCTTCCTTTGAAATCAGTGGAAGCTCTAAACCCATCTAATGTGCTAGCTTATAACTAACAGAAAAATTGGGTCAATTTTTATCCCACTGATGAAAAATAAATCAAACAAGTGTATCTTTTAAACAGCATGTAAACCATTTAATACTTAGTGTACTAGGTTATGTGCATAGTTTTGGGAAACATGAAAGTGTGTGACCAAACAGACTTCAAATACATCATTTTTATACATTCGAGGGTGGTTATTTAAACAATGCATTGATGAATCCATTGGATATTGCTAGGGGTGGGAAAAAAGCTTTGTAATCACTTGCATCCAAATAATACAAGTTTATAATTTTATTTTTATAAACTTTATGATTATAATCATATTCATGTATATGACCGTGCATGTGTTACTGTTAATAACAACTTGTGTTTTAAGACATAAAATGGTTTTATAATATGCTCATGGATTCCTGGATTGAACCTGACACCTCTGGGTTTACTTAACGTCCTAAAAAAAGAAACAGTACTCTAATATGGGGCTAGATATTACTGAAAAAGTCAACTAGTAGCAGTAAATGTCAAAATTCACCTTAAAATGGCATCTCTAATTATAAGTCGACAGTAGCAAAGCATTGGCAGTTTCCATGATATTACATGCTTTACAACCTCCTGCAGCTGCCAGCCAAATCTCCGTTTCTCTTCTACATTTGCTTTTCCTTCATGACATTTAATCAGTCAACAATATGAACGCTGGAGTTCTCCTAAGCCACCCTACAGTTTAAAATCCTGACTACTTCATGTTCTTCTGAAAGTGGGGCGGGGAGAGCAGCAAGTCTTTCAGAATGAGATCTGTACTTATCGATCACAGCATCAGCAGGGAAATTGGCCTTTGTAGGGGTGAATGTGGTTCGTTCACTGAGAAAGGAAAAACTATTTTGGGTTAAAATGAAGGCAAAACAATTCAGGCAGCTGAAGAGGCTTCTGAAAACTGGAAAGATGGAATTTCCAGGGTTTGGGCAATGAGGCAGAGACTAAATTTATGGAAAGCAGACAGGAGAACAACTTCAGGTTAGTCTAAAAAAGGAATCTGGAGAGAGCTTATGTAGAGAAAAATCACACAGACTGAATCATACGTGGGGAATGAATAGAGGGAAAACCTGACTCTGGGAGCTGCGATTATAGAGGAAATAAAGGCAGTAAAGATTAAATATCAGTCCCTAACACTGCCTCAAAAAAGCCTGACAATATATTCACAGCTGGGTATAACCTCTGCAGGCACCACTAAGTAGTCCTTCCGTTCTATTGAGTTCCTTCCACAGTTTGTTCCTCCCTTAAACCTCTCATGAGAAATCCTTTCCCTCGATATGCTGTATAGCGTGTTAAAGTGTAGTCTGAGGACCAGCAGCATTGGCATCTCCTAGGAGCTTATTAGAAGTGCAGAATTATGGCTCCACTCAAATCTACTGAAACTGAACACAATTTTTCCAAGATCGTAGATGATTCATGCGCACATTAAAGTTTGAGAAGCACTGATCTACAACATATACGATGTGCTGTCTAAGACTTTTTTACTGCATATCAAAACATAGGCAGATAGATTACAACTGTACATCATTTATTCATTCTCTTAACAAATACTCACTAAACACAGGCCCTATTCTCAAGGAGTTGGCACTTTGCTACCAGTTATTGAACTCCCTTCCGTTCTCTGCATTGTGTGAGGTGTCAGGGCTAGAAGGATAAATATGGCATTGTCCCTGCCCTTAATTAGATCATAGATATGTTAGGAAATAGTTAATGCAAAAAAGTGTCATGGTTTTAATGCTAAAAACGTGTACCTGGCACTGGGATTACAGGAGAACAAGTATTGGAGACATATAAGGAAGGTGGTGATCAAGGTTTTTAGAAATGGAAAAGTTTTTATAGAGGTGAGCTGAGCTTTCAAAAAAAAAAAAGCTTTTTTTCTTTTTTCCAGGTGGACCATGGGGCATTGTGGGCAGGATGAAGGAAGGGTTAGAAAGAAGGGTGTACAAGGGAGAGGAAACAATCTTAACAAAGGCTCAAGGGCAAGAAACAGGTTGGCCTATTCAGAGAACTTTAAGTAATTCCATATGGCTGGATGATAGGTTTTGAGGAGGGTGGATTGGGGTCTGGTGGTCAGAGATAAGGCTGGAGAGCTTGACAGGGGCCAGATTTAGGGGGCTGTATTGTAGCCTAAGCACTTTGGGATTGATCCTACAGAGCAGCAATAAGAAGTCACTGAAGGTTTTCCAGTAAGGCAATAACAAGATCACGTTTGTGTTTTAGAAACATCACTCTGGAGGATGTTTGGGGAATGGTGATTAGCCAATTTGGCTGAAGCACAAAGTACACAGAGAAAAGTAAAGGCAGATAAGGCTGGAAATGTAAATTTGGATCCAGATCATAGAGGATACTGACTGCCATGCTTTGTACTTTGTAGGCAGTGGGGAGACACTGAAATTTTCTGAGCAAGAGAATGCTTTAGACTGGGAAGAGACTAAAGACAGAAGGCCAGTTAGAAAGTTATTGCAATAATTTAGGCAAGAGGTAATAAGAACCTGATGACTCTGAGAATAGAAATTAACAGATAGATTCAAGAAGCAGGTGCACAATTATAAGCACAGTTTCATTACTCATTTTAGGATACCACAATTTCATACATAAATCAGATCTTTATAAATGTCTTCATTTTCACATCCTAATATAGCATTTACTTCTGTACCAATCACTGGGTGAGATACTCTTAACGTTCTTTGGGTCACCAAGGAAAAAATCTCCTTCCTGTTGATTTAGTTTGCAGGTCCCTGTCTCAGTTCCATGTGGAAGCCGCTGCATGCCTCTAAGTCACCCAAACCCAAAATAAAAATTTTGTTACAGAATTGTTCTCTATTTGCCTCTTTGGTTGTTTCTCAACCCTGAATATGTTCCTAGGAAGGCTTCTTGGTTATTCTTTATTCACTTTCAAGAAAATAGCCTTCCCTTTTCCCATCTCCAGCCCCTTTTCTAGTCCCACATTTTTTTCACTTAGAAGCACTGATTCCACTAGGTGGTAGGTAGGGAGATCAAAGTCACATTTCCAGTTCTCAGTTTTTTTTTTTTTTTTTTTTTAACAATGTGAGTAAGTTGTAGGGTAGGTACATGTTGATCGCATTTCATATACCTCAACTGCTGCCAGATTGGTTTTTTGTATGATTTATGGTTATGGAGCTTTATGGCTGGTGTGAGGTTATTTTGAATTTATTTAGAAAGCTCTTTCAAGTGTTTCAGTTTCACATCATAGAATATTTATAATTCTGGGTCAGGCATCATGTTTAGCTTGACTTCCAAGATACAGAATTCCAAACAGCCATTTGCTCCTCTAAATAGATAGATAGATAGATAGATAGACAGACAGACAGACAGACAGACAGACAGATAGATAGATACATAGATACATAGATACATAGATACATAGAAAGATAGAAGCACAGTATATCTGTTTCCTGTACATCAATTTTCCTGGTACTGGATGGCTTCATTCTTTCTAATTCAAGACCCACCAGGCCTCGAGAATGATTAGAAACATTCATGCTTTAATATTAATACTTACAAAATCTCCCTGTTCTTATCTGAGCTTTGCATTTTTGTTAAGATGCTTAGCCAGAATGGAAGCTGCCCACACAATGCTTGTATAAAAATTATACTTGCTCAATAATATTCATATCTCCACCCACTCTTGAGTGGAACAGAACAAGCATTATGATATGCATGTACACATTTGCATAAAAATATACCATACACAAATTCAAGTTTGCATGCCCAGTTCCAAATGCACACCACCATAGAAATGCACATTTGAAAAAGCATGCAATCTCAATGTCCAGACGTTTTCCTCCCTAGAGAGTGATTTTTTTCCTAAAATGAAAGAATAATAATAGCCTTAATTTATGTAGTACATTTTTTTCCATTCTCCTCCCTTTACAAGAGATGAGTCAATTATTTTATGAGCAACTTAAAAAAGCATAAATTTTTTCTTCCTTTACGTATGGAGTAAGGCAAGGTGTCCCAGGAGACTAGTTCCTCATGCAAATTCAAGGGTGAAGTGAAATTTGTCAATATATTCTTCCTTTTATGACAGTCTTTCCTTCTCTTACAGCTACCTCAATTCTTTGCCAGCCAGCTGAGAGATCTCTATTGAAGAAATCTCTTGGCTAATCTCCCAGTTTCCCATCTCTTACTACAAAAGGTTTCAATTCACAAAACACAGGCTGACACAATCCTATTGAGTCCTCGCGATGGTCTTGCAATTTTGTAAACTCATAGAGCAGATGTTATATTTATTTAACAAACATATTTTCCACTTCTAAGAGTTCTTTCTTTTTTCTATTTACGTGTTGTATTTTTATTTCTTCCTAGTTTTCTTCTTCAGTTTTAATTTTTTAAGCTTTTAAAATTTTTTTCATTTTTAATTTTCATGGGTACATAGTAGATGTATATATTTATGGGGTACATAAGATATTTTGATACAGGCATATAATGTGTAATAATCACATCACAGTAAATGAGGTATCCCTAATCTCAAGCATTTATTATTTCTTTGTATTATGAACATTCCAATTATATTGTTTTAGTTACTTTTAAGTATACAATAAATTACTGTTGACTATAGTCACCCTGTTTTGCTATCAAATACTAGATCCTATTCATTCTATTTTTTTTAACCCATTAGCCATCCCTGCTCCCACCTGGTTCCCAGCTACCCTTCCCAGCCTCTAGTAACCACCATTTTATTATCTCCATGAGTTCAATTGTTTTAATTTTTAGCTCCCATAAATAAATGAGAACATGCAAGGTTAATCTTTCTGTGCCTGGCTTATTTCTATTAACATAATGTCCTCCAGTCCCATCCATATTGTTGCAAATGACAGGATCTTATTATTTTTATGGCTGAATAGTACTCCATTGTGTATAAGTGCCACATTTTCTGTGGTACATTTTCATTTCCATTTGTCTGCTGATGGATGTTTAGGTTGCTTCCAAACTTTCGCTATTGTGAATAGTGCTGCAATAAACATGGGAGTGTGTAGCTATCTCTTCAATATACTAATTTCCTTTCCTTGGGGAATATACTTAGCAATGGGATTTCTGGATCATATGATAGTTCTAGTTTTAATTTTTTGAAGAACCTCCATACTGTTCTCCATAGTGGCTCCACCAACTTACATTCCCACGAACAGTGTACAAGAGTTCCGTTTTCTCCACATCCTCGCTAGCATTCACTATTATTGCCTGTCTTTTGGATAAAAGCCATTTTAATTGGGGTGAGATGATTTCTCATTGTGGTTTTGATTAGCATATCTCTGATAACCAATAACGTTGAGAGCACCTTTTCTTATACCTCTCTGCCATTTATACGTCTTCTATTGAGAGATGTCTATTCACATCTTTTGCCCATTTTTTAATTGGACTACTAGATGTTTTTTTCCTGTAGAGTTGTTTGAGTTCCTTATATATTCTGGTTATTAATCCCTTGTCAGATAAGTAGTTTGCAAATATTTTCTCCTATTCTGTGGGTTGTCTCTTCACTTTGTTATTTCCTTTGCTATGCAGAAGCTCTTCAATTGGATGTAATCCCATTTATCCCTTTTTACTTGGCTTGCTGGTGCTTGTGGGGTATTTTTCAACAAATCTCTGCCCAGTTGAATGTCCTGGAGTGTTTTTTCAATATTTTCTTGTAGTAGTTTCATGTTTGAGACATTAGATGTATGTCTTTAATCCACTTTGATTTGATTTTTGTATACAATGAAAAATAGGGGTCTAGTTTCATTCTTCTCGTATGGATATCTAGTTTTGCCACCATCATTTATTGAAGAGGCTGTGTTTTCCCAAATCTACGTTCTTAGCACCTTTGTTGAAAATAAGTTCACTTTAGATGTACGGATTTATTTCTGGGTTCTCTATTCTGTTCCATGTGTTGGTTTTTATGCCAGGGAAAATATTCTTCATACATGAAGGAGAACTTGGATATACTATTCAAGGGTAAAAGATTTTTTCCTTCAGCACTTTAAATATGTCATGCTACTCTGTCCTGGCCTATAAGGGTCTCCACTGAGAAGTCTGCTGCCAGGCATATTGAAACTCCATTGAATGTTATTTGTTTCTTTTCTCTTGCTGCTTTCAGGATCCTTTCTTTACATTTGGCCTTTGGGAGTTTGGTTATTAAGTGTCTTGAGGTAGACTTATTTGAATTGAATCTGCTTGGTATTCTATCACTTTTTTGTAATTGAATACTGATCTCTTTATCTAGGTTTGGAAAGTTCTCTTTTATTATACCTTTGAATAAACTTCCTATTTCAATCTCTCTTCATCCTCTTGAAGACCAATAACCATTAGATTTCCCTTTTGAGGCTATTTGCTAAATTTTGTAGGTGTGCTTCATTGTTTTTTCTTTTGTTTCTCTGATTGTACATTTTCAAATAGACTGTCTTCAAGCTCGGTTATTCTTTCTTCTGCTTGATCAATTCTGCTGTTGAGAGAATCTAATGCATTCTTTGGTATGTCAACTGAATTTTTCTGCTCCAGAATTTTTGCTTGATTTTTAAAAATTATTTGTCTTTTTGTTAAATTTATCTGATAGAATTCTGAATACCTTCTCTGTATTATCTTGAATTTCAAAGAGTTTCCTCAAAACAGCTATTTGGAATTCTCTGTCTGAAAGGTTACATATCTGTCTCTCCAGGATGCTCACTGGTATCTTATTTAGTTCATTTGGTCAGGTAACATTTTCCTGGATAGTCTTGATGCTTGTGGATACCCATCCGTGTCCAGGAATTTAAGTTAGGTATTTATTGTAGTTTTCTCAGTCTAGACTTGTTTGTACCCATTCTTCTTGGGAGGGATTTCCAAGTATTCAATGGAAATTGAGTAATGTAATTTAAGACTTTGGTTACTGCAGCCATATCTGCATTAGGGGGCACCCCAAGCCCAGGAACACTGAGACTTTTAGAGACTTACAGAGGTCCAGCCTTGGTGGACCTGAGAGAGAATTGGGTGAGATCTGAGAGAATTCCATGGATTATCAGGCATAGAATTTTGTTGTCTTCTTTTACTTTCCACTAACAAACATAGTCTTTCACTCTGTGCTGAGCTGCCTGGAGATAGGGAAGCACTCCCTGGAGGGCACAAACACTCCTGTGGCCACCTCCACTGAAATTGCACTGGGTCAGATCTGAAGCCAGCACAGCACTGGATCTTGCCCAAGGCCTGTGGTGACCACTGCCTGACTACTGATGATGTTCACTCAAGGCCCAAGTGTTCTTAAGTCAGAAGGCGGTGAATCCAGACAGGCTTGTGTACTTCCCTTCAGGGAGGTAAGCTCCCACTTGTCCCAGGATGGGTCCAGAAATGCTGTCCGGGAACCACAGCCTGGAGTCAGAATCCTTAGGAATCCGCTTGGTACTATTCTACTGCAGCTGAACTGGCATGCAAGCCACAAGACAAAGTCCTTCCCATTCTTTTCTCTCCTTTCCTCAAGCAGTAGTCTCCCCTGTGGGTACCACTGCCCCAGGCCCATGTTGTGTACTGTGTGGCTATTGCCGATATTCACTCAGGGCCCAAAGGCTCTTCAGTTAGCTTGTGGTGAATGCTGCCAGGCCTGAGTCTCTCCTTTCAGGGCAGTGGGCTCCCCTCTGGCCCAGGGAAGGTCCAGAAATGTCATCTAAGAGCTACGGCCTGGAATCTGGGACTTTAAGAGCCTGCTTTGTGCTCTACTCCACTGTGACCAAGCTGGTGCCCAAGCTGCACAACAAAATCTCCTTTATTCTTCCCTCTCCTTTCTTAAGCAGGAGTCTCTCCTCGTGGCCAGCTCTGCTCAGAATATGCTGGGCCATGCCAGAAGCCAGCATGTCTCTGAGTCTCACAAGGCACGTGGCAAGTACTGCCTGGTTACCACTGATGTTTATTCAAGGCCCATGGGCTCTTTAGCCAGCAGGTGATGAATCTTGCCTGGATGATGTCCTTCCCTTCAAGATAGTGGGTTCCCTTCTGGTGCAGGGTATATCTAGAAAGACAGGGAAGATAGTGCCTGGACTGGGAGCCTCAGGAGTTAGGCAAACTGCCTAAGACCTTATTTGACTGTGGCTGAGCTGTTATTTCCGAGTTGAAAGATGAAGTCCCCTTTACTCTCCCATCTCGTCTCCTAAAGTGAAAGGAAGGAGTCTCTCTCAGAACTGTGGGCTTCACTGCCTTGGGCTGGGTGAGGAGTGGTGCAAGCAGTTCCTTGGCTGGTGTCCCACTAGGTCATGTACACCCCAAGTCCAATGGCTTGGAACCAAGCAAAGGGCTAAGATTTGCCCAGGAATTACAGTCCTTGTGGCATAGACCATCTTTCAAGTTTATTTAGGACCCAAGGGCACTTTAGCCCACAGTGGTGGGGCTAGCCAGAACTTGGGTTCCACAAGCTGGAACGGATAATTCCCCTCTGACTAGGGATGCTCTAAGTGCTCCCTCATAGGCTCTTGCTGACTTCTCCCCTGTGTTGCTTTCCACTATGATGGGGCAGCACTTAGTTGCAATGCAAAGTCCAGCAATCACTGCATTCTTCCTCTCCCAAACACACAAATTCTCTCTCCATGCCACACTGCATTGTCAGGGAATGGGGCAGGGTTGGTGTAGGCAATTCACAGCTGTCTTTCCTACCTTCTCTTTCCTAGATATGATGTTAAAACCAGGTACTGTGATTGCTCACCTAAATTTTGGTTGTTATAAAGGTGGTTTCTTGTGTGGACAGTTGTTCAATATGGTGTTCCTGAGGTGGGGGAGTACAATCGCTGGAGGGTTCTATTCATCCACCTTGTTCCACTTCTCTCCCTATTTCTTCAAGCTTTTAGAAAGTATCTGTTAGGATGTATTAATTTCATAAATTAGCTTTTGAAAGTTGATTTTGTTAGATGCATTACTCAGTTTTAGATTTCCTTATGTATTTTTGAATTCTGGTTTTCAGGCGCCCATCCTCCCTACTTCTGCCTTGCCCCTGACCTTGGCTTTTGACAGTAATCCTAGATCCAGTCTCCACTTTCGCACAAAACTTTTAGTCCTCTACCAAACAGAAACTGAGACTCTGCGTCAGACCATAGTAGTTCCTAGGTCTCAATCCTGTATACTTCTTAGGTTTCTATTCCATTTGAGGGTCACTGAAATGTTCTATCTTGCTTTTGAACTTGGCCCTGTCTTTTAGATTTTTTAGTCTTAATTTCTTTCCCATTGTTATGTATTATAAACTTATGGGGTCATATTGACAGGAAGTTTGTGGCATCCTCATTTTATTTATTTATTTTTAATTTTATTTTTGTATTTCCTCAGAGACCTTTGTTCTGAACCTCATTTTACAGATAGAAATGAACTGAAAAAGGTTCATTAGCCTGCTCCAAGTTGCAAACCTAATCAATGGTACAGTCTGGGCTACCATTTAAGTCTTTCACTTGGCTCTGATGATCAAAATTTATTTCATTTTACAGAGAGCTGCTCTCAGTGAACTGCTGATCAGCTGTGATAAAGCAAAAAAAGTAAATAACTTAGAGTCAGAGAACCTGAACTCAAGTTCTCACTCTGCCAATTACTAGTTTCTCTTGGCCTCAGTTTGCAATATTGTATAACAGCAATACAGTCATGTATCACCTAACAACAGAGATATGTTCTGAGAAATGCATCATTAGGCAATTCCATCACTATGCAAAACAAACATCAAAGAGTGTACTTACACAAACCTAGATGGTATATATTTTTTATTTATATATATGTATATATATTTTCTTATGGAAAACCAAATGCCCCAGTACCATTAGTAATATCAATCATTTCCCCTACTTGATCTGCAATGCCAATATCCAGTACCAGATATCAGGTTTCTAGATATGCTCTATTTTAACATTATGACCCAAACATTGCTATGTGACAAATGACTATATTACCAATTACCTTACACAGTGGTCATAAAATTAATACATGTGAGAACTTTTAAAAAAAATGCAAAGCACTATGTAAATGTGAAAGTTTAAACAGCTAAAAGATTTGTCTTTTCAAAGATATATAAATAATATGTGTTTACTTCTGAGAAATAATAAAATACAGATAAGCATAAAGGAAAGAAATTGTTTGCAATGTAATTTAGCAGTGTATTCTTCTAGATTTATCTCAATATATATATTTAAATTAGCAACTTAATCGAGCGCACTTGTCAAAATTTTATCTATATCCATCTATACAGTAATAAATCATGAAACTGTCTCCTCAAGAAGTTTTGGGGAAGGGTTTTGACACAAAATCAGGTAAAGTAACATTAGGTTATTTGCCAAATATAGCATTAATTGTCTTACCTTGATTTGTCACAGTCTTTGTGTTCAGGTCTCAAGGACAAAGCTTCCATTTAGATGAAGCCTTTCAACAAACTATTTGTGGATTACTCTTCTATACTTCATGGTTGCAAGCTAGAGAATCCTCTTTAGCTATTTGGAGCAGAAGTGAATCATTCTAGGTATTAATTAGCTCATGGAATCTTTTGGAGTGCTAGAGAATCAAGCTCAGATGTTTCACAACCAGAAACAAGGCATCCAGCGTTAAAGCCAACAGATGAAATATCCACGCACACTACCCGACTATTCTAGAAGAACTGCACATTGATTTCACACATGAGTACCAGTACCTACACCTAGATTTAAGAGATTTCACTAAAACTGTCCCTAAAGAACCAGACATCTCTATCACCATGCTTGCCACATGTGGCTACTGCCTTCTCTGTTCCCTTCTGCATCTAAATTTGCTCAGTAGAACCAAATTCCCAATAGAAATGTAGCTTCAAGGAAATCTAGAAATAAAGTTCTGTTTTGTTCTGTTTTAATTTTTCAGCTCTATGGTAGGAAGGTGAGATATAATGGATACAGAATGGGTAATCAGTAAGCCAGTCTGCAGTATCTGGTAAGTACTGTAAGTAGGTAGAGGTAGGCACTGTAATTTCCCCCATTTTACAGATAAGGAAATTGAGCCTTAGAAAGATTATGTTATTTGGTCAATAATAAAGGTATATAGAAGGAAGCAAGGATTTCAACCCAGGTATTCTGATCAACATTCACCTTTTAACTACTACAATATTTAATAATTACTTCATTACATGACTTCTCCTTAGAAGAATATGAGTGACTGAAGAACAATAATTCTTTCTAATTCAGTAAGTATTTTTCAGTATCAAATTCTGGGGGCTGCATTCATTCAAAACTTCATTTAGTCATTCAAGACTTTTAATTAAATACCTACTATGTGCCAGTACTCTTCTAGAGACCTAGGAATATGGTGGTGAATAAAACGCGCATAGTTCCTGATATCATGGAGGTCAGCATTTAGTGTTAGAGTTATCAGGTGAAAAAGTATGCATTAATTAAACGCGACTAAAAAGATATATGAAAATAAGAGAGCATTTAAATGGGAGATTTAAGCTAGCAGGTGCAGGCAAAGAAAGATTTCCTAGGGAAGCTGTTTGAGTTATAGAGACCTGTAAGATGAGTAAGTATCAGCTAGCCTAAGGGACAGGTTCTGGGAAGACAGTATTGTAGGCACATGGAATAAATAGAGTATGAGATGTCCTGGAGGTTGAAAGGAGGTCAGGGGATTGAAAGAAGTCAAGTGTGGCTAATCATAGACAGTAAGTAAAAACTGACCCTGCGATAAGTCTAAAGAGGTAGAAACCCAACCAATGTTCATTGAATGAATAAAGGTGTGCAATCTCTAGTAGATGGTAGCTGTGATGCCTTCTAAACTTCCTGCTTCCACTGAGATTCCATGATTCCAAAAGAGGCAGTATATCTTTGTATATTTAGAAAAGAAAAGGCGAGGCCAGAGTGGTAAACTCTCCTAAAATTATCAAAACATATTGATAGTCTACATTAACACTTTAGAATGAATCACTTTTGTGGATGCTATGGATTCTGCAAGGAGAAAATTAGAATGGACCCATTTGTCTAACACCTAAAAGTAAAATGGGAAAGACTAACAGAATAATTTAGAATAATTAAAATTAAGTAGATTAGTTTTTTCTCTTCTTCTTTATTTGACCTTTGAGATAATGTTTTGTCTTTATGAATAAAGAAAAATCTTTAGAAATTTGCCTAAAGCTCCTTCTCAAAACAATAAGTGTACAGAATGCTTACATCAAGAATACTATAATTTATTTTTAATATATTTTTAATCAAATAGAAAAAATCAAACTGCCCTATTTCTGTCAAAAGAAAAATGTGAATATATTCCATCTATATTCAGTAGGCAGAATCCTCAAAATAACTAATACCAAATACAAGTTTTCAAATCTTTCAAAGATTTACATTATGTATTCCAAAGTAACAGCTAAAATCATATATTAACTTACACATATATCTTTTAAGTCTACCAATAAAATGTGTGACCATTGAAACACATTTAGTGATGAGCAGGAGCCACATTCAATGAAGAAAATTAAGTAGCAGTCCAGCCTCTCTAGACTACATGAGAATAGATCCAATATCCCATGATTCACAATTGTTTTTAAATACATGGTTTATTTCTCTATTATTTGAAGTTTGTTTTTTTACACATATATCTGAACTTCAAACACTGTCTGACATTCCTGAAATAGCTTTAATATTACTTTTCTTTATCTCATTGCCTTCTCTCCCAGGTCAATGGACAAAGCTTAAGGCTTCCAGCATAAGGCTAATCCCTTTATCTGTCCTCTGAATCTCATTGTCAGCTGCTTTTTCAGGGACCTTACTTAATTATTGCTCTCCTCTCAGCATCTACAACCTTTTCCTCTCAACTAAATCTTTACTCTCACCATATAACCATGCTAAAATCTCTGTGCTGGCAAAAACAATCAAAGACAAATAATAAAATAACCCCTCAAGTATTCTCTCCTCATCTGCAATTCTTGTCTTCTCTTTTATTTACATCCAATATTTTTGAAGAGTCATTGGTACCTACCAGCAATTCTTTCTCACCTCTCACTCACCTCCACTGCAAACTGGCTTTTACCCTTATGCTCCAATGAAATTACTCCTGAAACTGTCACAGTGACCTTTTAGTTGCTACATGCAGCGGGCACTTTTCAAGTTGGGTTGATCCCTCAGGAGCATTTGATACTATTAACCAGAAATTTCCTGGAGCATATAGAACTGTAAGGAACAATAAGCCATGTTCCCAGAATCACCACATGGAAGGGCACCCAATTAACACTCAAATAAACTATTCTTTGTGCACTAAATAAACCTGCATTGTGTTAGACCAATGGGATTTATAAAACTGTTCCAGCACATAGCATTACTTACCTTGACAAACACATGAGTCTTATTAGGTCATTCTTAATCTGTCTCCCTGATTACCCACCATTCCCCTGCTGTGAACTCTATGCCCTAGCTACACAAACCACTGTGTGTGTATATGCATGTGTGTGTGTTTGTCCATGCTATTCTATTCTTAATTCCTTTCTTCCTATTATTTGTTGACACATTCTTTTAGTCTCACTTACAGCCTTTGAGAAAGCTTCCCTGTTTCTGACAAGCATATTTACTCCATTTCACCTCATATATCTCTCTTTGTAGCACTCATGCTATTGTATCATAATTGTTTTCTGTCTCTTAAGAATGGATTCTTAGGTTTTTGGAATATGTAAATTACAGGAATTCTAGGCATGCTTTATCAAAACAAGGTTGAAATGATAAACACTGGGCCCTTACATAAAATTTTGTAAGAACATCAGGTTCTGACAAAGAAGAACGAATTTGTGGTTTTATATTTTGTTTCCCTTTAGTTAAACCCTAGATATCAAAGATTTATAATTTCTTAAAAATAAAATCTTGCCTACTTTTGGGCAACAAATACATGAACCAAATATCCTTTGTATCTAATTTCCTTAGAGGTGATTTTCTATGCATAACAGAATTATCTTTTGCAAATTATATTTGCATATGATCAGTCACATTTTTTGTATTTCAAATGTATTAATATTTCAATTAGCTAAAAGCAATAAGAAAAAGATTTATCTAGTCTGCTGTGGAAGTGCTAATATAATTTTAAAAAACAACTAAGAGCACTAATTTTGTTGTCAATTTCATATCCTTATAATTACCTCTTAAATAGGCTGCACTTCTCTCATGGTAATCACTGCTGTTTTCAAATGGCTTGCAAAGAAGAAAAGCATTTAAGCTAACTCCTAGAACAGATGAAACTATTTATTTTGACATTTGTCGGCTTTGGACCATGTCCTTTCCAATTCTGAAAAAGACAACCTGGGAACTTACGTGTTTAGAACAAATAATTTTAATAACTTTGGAGGTGATTTAAAATGGAGCCAATTTTAGGTGTCAGATAAAATGATCCTAATTCATCTTATATCAAAGATACTGGGCAGTGACATTGGTTGGGGTGTGGTCAAATTGTTACTATGCCAATCACTCAGTAAAGGAGTCTGAATCGTCAGTGGACAAGATCTAGAGATCTGAGAAATAACTCCTTTCTTTGCAGCCCTCTCTATGATAGACACTCAAGAATGAGAGAAAATGTAGGGTCATTCTTTTAGGCATGGTCATATCAATTCAAAGGAAGACAAAATAGTTTAGGAAGTGGATTCTAATGCAAGAGATAGTTTAGAGGAAGAATGGAAAGTGACGTTAGTATAGTTTATGAGGTAGTGGTTTCAGTTGTTAAATACAGATAAAGAGAACAGAAGAATATAAATATTCTAAACTGTATCAGAAAGAATCATGGAACTTTAAAAGCATAAAGGACTTTAGAGAGACATCATTTTCGTTCAGTCCTTTCATTTTAAAGAGGAGGAAACTGACCTTTAAAAAGGTTAAATCACTTGACCCAGGTTGCACAGAGAGTTAGTGAAAATAGTGTCTGTGGGTTCCTATGGTGGGGATAGGGAAGAACATGTAAGGGAAGAAAGGAAGTGGGTCTCTTTTCATTCTGATCCAGAAACGCAAATCCTTTAAAAGGTAGGCAGACCTTTTTAAAAAAACAGCTGGCATCACCTGCGGAGCTGAGCCAAATGCTGTGGTTGGTACCCAGCCTGAGCCTAAAAAAAATGCTCTTTGTAAAATTTCTCTTTGTGCACGGATAACCTTCACAAAATTAGTTCATGCTTGCTTTTAAATTACTTTGCACCTGTCCTAATCATACCTGAAGGTGGCAATGTCCTAAGAGTTACATAGGGTTTGTAAAATTGGGCTACTGGCATTATTTTTAGGAGCACTCTGCCTTACTTAATTTGGAGAACATTTTTTTTCCTACTAATTTCGATGCCACATGCTTTATAACTCAACTTTAATTTTCCTCCAAAGATATCCAATTTATTATCCTTGTCTTTAGTGTATATTTGCTTCAAGAGACAGTCTCCACAATGCTGATTGGGATATCATATGAATTCCATAAATTCATTTTGAAGTCCTTGGTTTTAGCTTATAGGATTTCTACATTTTGACTCACTTTTCTTATGTATTTTCTTGATAGTTACCCCCCTGCCTAAACAATTTAACTCTTCCTTTTCTTTTTTTAACTTAGCCACCTCCCTAAATGCATGTATACATTCTCTCTCTCTTTCTCTCTCACACACGCACACACACACACACACTCTCTCTCTCTCTCCTCCCCTTCCCCACCACCACACACATAAAATCATAAAAGCTGTTTTCCCAAATGGAGAGGTATGAAGCATGTGAGAGGTCTGGAGAAGACCAGGAGTCATAAATGTGCACAAGCCAACTTAAAATATGTTATGAAGGCATCAGCGAGAATGTCAGAGTAGGAGACTCCAATAGCCTTACTCTCCACTGAAAAGCAAAAAACAAAACGAAACAAACAAACAAACAATTCTGGCAAAACTGTCAGAAACAAAGTTACTGAAATTCTGGAAAATGGGATGTCTGTGAAATTCTGGGATGTTATTAGATCATGGGGCAGATTTCCCCTTTGGTATTGTTTTCGTGAGTTATCAAAGATCTGGTTGTTTAAAATGTGTAGCACCTCCCCCTTCTCTCT
Organism: Homo sapiens; assembly: GCF_000001405.40. Classification (NCBI taxonomy): domain Eukaryota; kingdom Metazoa; phylum Chordata; class Mammalia; order Primates; family Hominidae; genus Homo; species Homo sapiens. The sequence goes on from NC_000012.12 coordinate 99,346,806, forward strand.
CTTCCTCCTGCTCTGGCCCTGTAAGACGTGCCTGCTTCCCCTTCACCTACTGCCAGTCAAAGGTTTGCAGCAACCAAGAGAATTCTTAATCAAGAGAAAGGGCCACTGTAACCCAGTGGAAGAGGTTTATAGTATTTTAATTTATTTGTGTCCATCCCCACCATTGCTGGCTTAATGGTGGTCCTGAAGAAAGCACCTTGTTCTACCAGTGTGGGTCCTGGTACCAGAGGGAGCAGAACAGATTTTGTTCTGAAAAAACTGTGGTTGCCTGTTTTGACCTATCAGGTGGTTTCCTGAAGGACTAACACAGGGGACTTGCCTTTATTTTGCCTAACTCAGAACTCTCCCAGGGCACAAACATGGCTGCACAGACAGCATCTATATAAATACTTAATAGCAAATCAACCAGCCACTGCTACGCCCATGAGACAAAGAATATTAGATGGGATAAACAATAAACAAAACAAAAAACTTGAGAAGAAGGCTGGGAAGTGAGATGCTTGGGGGAGTAAGGGCTTTGAGAAGCTTCCACATATTCCCAGGTATCTAGAAGGTCACACACATGCGCAGAACAGGCCACATGATCAAATGATCTTGAGAAGATCCTAAAGTCTCACCTTTGGGTGAACTTCAGACTCTGTGAAAGCAGGAAATGAAGTTGAAGGCAGAGTTGTAAACTGCTTAGCTGAGTGTTAAAGGCCTGCCCCAACATACACACAGAGCCCAGTTGCAAAGACTGAGAGAGTTTTTGTTTTATCCAGGCATTTAAGGAAATCTTTGTCAAATCACTAGCTGACCATTGAGTTAGTAGAACAGAGATTTCAGTGACCACAGAGGATAAAAAATACTGTCAGTAAAAAATTAGAAAAGTCACTAAACATACAAGTACAACCCAAGACAAGTAGCAATAACAAAAACTTGGGGACAAGAAGAATCGGATTTCCAGTTACTATAATATTTAAAATGCTCAGTTTTAAACAAAAAGATATTAGACTTCCAAAAAAAATAATAAAGTGTGGCCCATTTACAGGGAAAAAAAGAAATGAATGTGAACTGTCCCTGAGGAATCCTAGACACTAGATTTACTAGACAAAGAGATTAAATCAACTGTCTTAAATATGTTTAAAGCCATAGACAAAGAACCAAAGGAATATATGAAACCAATGTCTCACCAAATAAAGAAGGCAGAAATGATATAAAGGAAACAAATTCTGGAGCTGAAATGTACAAGTATAATACTGAAATAAAAAAATCTCTAGAAGGTTTCTACAGCACTTTTGAGCAGGTAGAAAAAAAGAATAGAAAACATATAGATAAATCAATTGAAATTATCCATTCTAAAGAACAGAAACAAAATAAATGAAGATAAATGAACAGAACCTCAGCAACCTTTGGGATATCATTAAGCATATCTACCTATCTAGCTATCGGAATCCCAGAAAGAGAGGAGACAGAATAATGGACAAAAGACCAAATAATGGCTCACAGTATTTCTACATTTTGGCTCACTTTTCTTATATATTCTTCTTGATAGTTACCCCCTACCTGAACAAATCGAGTCTTCCTTAAAAAAAGACAAAAAAATAAAAAAACTAGCTACTTCCCCAAATGCAAATTTAATAAAAGAAATAAATCTACTTATTCAAGAAGCCCAACAAATACCAAGTAAGATAAACTCCAACAGATCTAAACTGACATATTATAATCAAACCATCAAAAACCAAAGCAAGAATCTTGAAAGAAGCAAGAGAGAAGTAACTCATCAGGTACAAGTGATCATCAATAAGAATAATATCTTATTTAAACTATAGAAGACTTAAGACAGTGAAATGACTTATTTAAATTGCTGAAAGAGAAGAACTGTAAATTAAGACCTATATTAAGCAAAGCTATCCTTTAAAGATGAAGGAGAAATTTAGACATTCACAAATAAACAAAAGGTGAAGGAGTTTTTCACTAACAGACTGGTACTGTAAGAAATGTTAAAGGGAGTTCTTCATATTGAAACAAAAACACACTAGACAACAACTTGCAGCTACATGAAGAAATAAAAATCACCAGTAAAGGTAACTACATAGGTGAATATAACAAACAGTATTATTGTAATTTCAGTTTGTAACTCCTCTTCTTTTTCCTATGTCATTTAGAAGACAAATGCATAAATCAATAATTATAAATTTATGCTAATGGGGACACAATGTGAAAACATGGAATTTGTGACAATAACAACACAAACACATGGGAGAGACCTATATTAAAGCAGAGTTTTATATACTATTGAAGCTAAGTGGGTATTAATTCAAACTCGATTACTTATAAATGTAAGATACTAACTGTAATTCCAAAAGTAACCTGAAAGAACAAGTGAGAAATGTTCAGAAAAGTAAATGAGAAGGGAACCAAAAGGGATTACAAAAGGAAATTAAATTAATAACAAAAATGTAACTAATATGAAAGACAATAATGGAGGAATTAAGGAACAAAAAGGTTATAAGACATCAGAAAACAAATAGCAAAATGGCATAAGTAAGTTCTTTGTTAGTAGCTACTTTAAGTGTAAATGAATTATACTATCCAATTAAAAGGCAGAGATTAGAAAATGATCCAAATATATACTGTCTACATGAGACTCATTTTAGATCCAAAGACACAAATAGGTTGAAAGTTAAAGGATAGAAAAAGATATTTCATGCAAAGAGTAAAAAAAGAAAAAGCTGGAGTGGCCACACTAATATCATACAAAATGTACTAAGTCAAAAGTTGTTATAAAAGAAAAAGGGAGGCATTATATATTAATAAAAGGGTCAATCCCTCAGGAAGATGTGACAATTAAAAGCATACATGCACCTAACAACTGAGTCCCAAAATATATAAAGCAAATTTGACAGAAATGAAGGCAGAATAAACAGCTCTACAGTAATCATAGGAGATTTCAATACCCTATTTTCAATAATGGATAAAATAACTATACAGAAGGTCAATAAGAAAATAAATGACTTCAATGATACTGTAAGCCAACTAGACCTAATAGAGAAATACAGAACATTCTCTGGAGCTAGATATGGATGATGGATATACAACACTGTGAATATACTAAATGCCAATGAATTGTATAATTTAAAATGTTTAAAATGGCACATTTTATGTTATGTATATTTTATCACAATAAAAAACGTTTACCTATTGATATGGTTTGGATCTGTGTCCCCACGGAAATCTCTGTCAAACTGTAATCCTCAATGTTGGAGGTGGGGCCTGGTGGGATGTCATTTGATCATGGCGCAGATCTCCCCTTTGGTGCTGTTCTCATGATAGTAAGTGAGTTATCCCAAGATCTGGTTGTTTCAAATGTGTAGCACCTCCCCCTTCTTTCTCTTCCTCCTGCTCTGGCCCTGTAAGATGTGCCTGCGTCCCCTTCACCTACTGCCATGATTGTAACTTTCCTGAGGCCTCTCCAGCTATGCTTCCTGTACAGCCTGTGGAACCATGAGACAATTAAACCTCTTTTCTTTGTAAATTATACAGGCTCAGGTATTTTTTTTATAGCCGTGCAAGAGTGGAGTAATACAGCTATGGACACTCACAAGGAAACAATGCATTATTAGAAGGGATTAAAAACTATGATGAAAAAAGAGCACCAAATTATTTAACTTAATAAATCCATCACTTCTACAAACACAAGACAACTGTAGACATCCCAGTTCTGAGGCAGGAGGGTATAAGATAAAAGAAGCTGCTAAAAATTAGTAGTCCATATGAAAATAAAAACAAAAGCTAAAAAGTGGAAAACCATGAAAAAGTTTTCTGTGTGAGAAAGAAATGAGATTGGGGTACAAAGGTACTGCTTTTTAAATGAAGAATTCTAAAATGATTTAAAGCTTTAAACTGTGTGAATGCCTAACTTGTTTTAACATCAACTGATGTTTAATATTAATGCAAACATCAATTAATTAAACACTCCAACCCCTCAAATGTAGTGTAGGAAAAACCATACTCACTTCTTAGGCTCAGTATTTTCAAAATGATTGGATCACATCCACGTCTTTCTGAATGCATTCAGCTACGGTCACTTAGTTCTGCATTGGTTTTGTGTCTGTCTTAATAGCAATCACTCCAAACCTAATAGTCTCAGTCACAGCTCTCAAGTATTTTTCTCTTTTCCCAAATCATTCTCATTTTATTTTGAGAACTATCTCCCTTATAGTAATCTAGGTTTATGAGTCATTTTCAAAATCACAAAGTGCTTTATCATTCCACTTTTTGAAAATCTCTAGAATGTAAGTATTTTGGAAAAAATCTTGGTATTTTCCACCTTGTGAGTCTGCTGATGGGCAGCCAGTAAAGTCAGTGCTGTTGAATTAAAATAGGCAACACAACAAGACAAGGGACATTGGTCATGCAAGTCTTATTTCCTGAGGCACAAGACTTTGAAATGAGTCGTACAGGTTTTACGATGATCAACTCTCAGAGGCCAAGGCCCACTAAACTAACTATATACTAAAAAATGAGCCATTGTAAAGGAATATTTTCTTGTAATTTTAAATTAAACTTTTTGGGGGTGGTCTTTTATAATTTTTAATTTTGGTGGTAATCCTGGAGTTTATTTGCACTATTTTTAGTTTTTAACTTTTTTTTTTTATTTTTGAGAGTTATGGGAATGTTAGTGTTTCAACCTGTGATGGTAGAAAACACATTTTAAAATAAGACAGACCTGGGTTTGAATTACAAAGAACTTCTAAGTCATGTAAGCATAGATAAATTAGTGTCTTTTCTTACCTTCGGTTTTCTTCTCTATAAAATGATAATGTCCAGTTTTCCTTGTTGTCATGAGGATTAGAAATAATACAGATAAAAGAGCAATCACGGTATATGACAAAGAACAGGTGCTCAAATTGGTGGCTTTATATTTATAGTTAAAGCATAGAAGTATTAAAGTCCTCATGCCTCAATTAGACCAGTTCTTACATTTTACCAGAAAGGAAGCTGAGAATCAAGAAGAGTGATCTGACATACATCAATAAGATAAAGCTAGATAATTCCAGAGATTAGTACTGAGGTTTCCTGCTTAAGCAACAATCTCTTCCTTCCCTTGGGCTCTCTTCACTATGGATGAAGTCTACTATTTAAAGGAAAGTTTAAAATAATTTATTGAACATAGGAGAAAGCATACCTCAGAATATTCGGAAATGTGACTTAGATGCACCTTCTGAGATTGAAACTTGACCAAAGATGACCCACATTTTCTGAAGACTTTGCCAATGTCTGCTTGTTAGTGACTTGGAAAAAGTAGATACTGAATATGAAAAGTACAATTTCTTCTTGCCCTTCATTAAAACAAAATAAAAACATGTTCTTTACTCCAAGACTAAGTCTGACCTGCTATTATATTTGATAAATTAAAGTTCTTCTAAGATTAAAAAAAATCCCTTTAGCAAATTGTTCCAGCTAACATAGTACCCAGCATACAATAAACATTTAATAAATACTTGTTGGATGAACAAGTGAATGTGTACGTTCTCATAATGCTAATGAGAAGTAATGATTAAAACAAAAGTATAAATAAGAATGACAGAAACATCAAGCATTCTGATGAGGATCTGGGAGGGGGGAGTCTGCTATGAGAACAGCTTGCTCAGACAGAGAAACACCAAACGACTTCAAAAAAAACCACACTGACTTGAGTTCTGGCATAACTACCTCACTGCAGGCAACAAAAATTCTGCTTTGCCTTTAATCAATGTAATGAAACTGTGCCTTAACATGCTTCCTTATTTGCATATCTCTTGTAATCCGTGTTGCATACAATACAAAAAGATTTATTATAAAGAAATTAATATATCTTGAGAGGCCATCCCCATCAGGCAAAAGACCCATCTGAAGATAAAAATCACACCATTTATAAAAACCTTAGAAAGATCTTACAAATCCATGAATTATTTACTTAAAAACTTAAACATCCAGAGATTGAGTTCTCAGCTCTCATTGGCAAATTTGCTCCTCTAAACATTTCCTAATGCACATGAAAACTATTTCCCTGAGAATCCAGTTCTCTAAGTAGTCGAGTTATAGAGTCTATTATAGATATAACTAAAGATTCTCAATAACTTTTAAAAACTAAATTATGACATAGTCTGATGAAGGGTACATTTCACCTTATAAACTGCTTCATATTGTAATTCAAATTGTAATTAGACTCTTCACCCCTAAACAGGGATGTTATCCCCACAAGTTTCACTGTACACAAAACTGAATCACATTAGCCCAAGCCCCGGTTACCCTTCTCCTAATTAGAATCTTTGCTTCTCCCCAGTATGAATCTCACAAGGATACCAGACCAATCTCATTAGAGGCACCACAGTATGATGTGGTCTTTAGAATAAGATATACATGGGTGAAATGTGGCTTCACTCCATTTTATCTGTGAGCTCTTGGATGAATCTCTTATCTCCCTTATGTCTCAGTTTCCTTACCTGTAAAACTGAGATAATACCAATCTTATAAATTTATGAAGGAGAGTAAATGTGTGTGTTGTCTGTAAAAATCCTGGCATATGATAAGCACATAATAAATGGCACTGGCTATTACTATCATCATCTTGTAACATACTGGTTTCTCATGTCACTTCATACACAAAAACCACAATAAGATACCCAGGTCATATCAAATTAAATTCAATCTCTTCTATTGTGTTTTTAATGCTTTCTATATTCTGACCAGTTTCATCTTCTCTCCCAGAATTCCAGAGCATAAATTATAACTCTGGTCAATTTAGTTTCCTTTTAATCTTTTTCACTTAGCATGTCAATTCCTGCATGTCAATAATGTTGCTATTATTTTCTTTCACTTTGCTTGCTCCATTATGCCAGGACCTTCACATTCCTTAAGATTTTAGATCATGTCCCATCCATTTCCTCTATGAAACAGACTCTTAATGACACTAGCTCACTGCTTTCTTCTCTAGCTTCTAGGGCCAGGTCCCTTAGAGGAACTGGGAAAGGATGGAATTTCTGTGTGATGTACTCACATTTTTCTCTATGAGAGCCTGCTCTTCTTTCTATGTAATCCTATCACTTTGAGCATTTATTTTACACTGTTATGGAGGCCACTAGTGAATACTAAAGTAATTTTCTTTTCCATTGATGTTACTAGGATTATAGTCCAAAGAAAGGATGCATCTATGTTTATGCAAATTAACTTGATTTCAGCTAAGCTTCTTATTGGCACACTGGGTTCTCTCCTGCTTCATGCAAGATAAAAGAAGTATCACAAAAATCTTATGAACTAACTGGTAAATATAAGTTAAATAATAGCACAGTGTATATACTAACCTCAAAGAATATTAATAAATGGGTCTATACAACCAGGAAAGAGATCTTTAGTTATATATCACTGGGGTCTGAAATGAACCAATGACCCTTTTTCTGTTCATTAGAGACAACATGGGGTAGTGTGGCAAGTCTCATATACTAATTCCTGGGTTCTACTCCACATACTCTGTAGAGTAAAGCCTAGAAAACATATGAAAATGTTCCTTGTATGGTTTTGGATGCACCAGAAATCATAAATATAGTGGTCAAACTACATGCTTCAAAACCAAAGATCTGAATTCAGAGTTTGTCTCTGTCTTTTTGTTTGTACGTGATGTTGTACTTACCTGAACCTCACTATTTCCTCATGTTGAGTGTTAAGTGACATGATGTATGTATAGTGTCTCACATATAACAGACACTCACTAAATAGGAATCATTTATCTATTATTTGGATGAATACCCAAAAGAAATGCTCATTGAACCCACTGTTGTCACACCATTAAGAAAGAGAATGAATACAATAAATGCTAAAATGACTTTGAGTCTCGTACTACTAGGCCAAACACCCATAATATTAACATGGATAAGATTACTAAGTGGATTTAGGTTGCAAAATCAATTGCATAAGTAAAGGATAGGAGACCTGCAGAATAATAACAGTTGACAGGGGAGAAAAAAACCACCCAGAAGTTTTTATTGACTTTAAGTTCAGTAAGAGATAAGTATATGACTCAAACAATCTTTGGGATAGGAAATAGAAAGTTGGGAGGGTATTAGCATATCCAACGGTGTTTGTACCTTCCACAGCTCTTAGTACAGTAGCTTCTTTACAGAAAAAACACAAAGGCATTATAATGATGTGTGATGTCAATAAAAGGTCAATATGATCACTGTATTACTATTAATAACTAACAGTATGATATCTAATACTTATTGAGTGCTTATTTTAGGCAATATAATATGCCAAATGTTTTGCATGTGTTATTTCCTTTAATTGATAAAACATTTATCTCAAAATCTTTGTAAATAACCATTTCTTTGAATCCCCAATTTTAAACCCAGACAGTCTGTGACCTAAGAGAGCGGAATTGCTAAATCATGATACTAACTCCCATTTAATAAGGTGACTGTGCTTCAGGTTTCATAATTGGTAAGTGGAGATTGGGATAGTGCTAGAATTATTTCCTTGGCTTTGATGCTAATTTCTCTGTGCAATTCACTTTAACAATTACTTCAGATCTGCAATTTGAAGTATTTGCAGTCTTATTCATTGTTTTCCTGCCACAAATTTATTCCTTAACCAAAGTTTAGGTTCATTCTGTTATTTTAATGCCTTTTTAGTTGTCTTTTGACTAAAAGGTGAGTAATACTAATTTGGGAGAATCATATTATTCAGAATTAGATAAGCCTCACTGCCCTGCAAAAAGAAGCTCACTTCTGTTTGCTTGGCTTTCTGATTTGGTGGCCTCTGCATGGAGATTCAGATTTCATTTCTCATTTACATTTGTCGTTTTGTCTTCTAATAGTTTGCCCCCTTATAATACCATGTTTGCTAATAACTCTGCTTTCATGCTGTTTGCCAATGCAGAAGGGAATATTTTTCTTTAATACATTACATTTCTTCCCTCCCTACTTAAGAACTATTTACCCAGCTTACACCATGTACCTGTCCATTTATTTGGAATGGTATATGTTTTGGGATCCTTTTATCTCCTTTCCATATTTGAATAATTATAGTTATTGATCTCTGTGGCAAACCTACCCTTCGTAGTGTTTTATTTATATCTTTTACCTTTTCTCAGTGAAGAGAAAAGGATGGAAATTATAATAAAATTATTAAAATTTATAAAATCCAGGGTCTAATCAGAGGACAGAAACTACAATAATTGAACAGGAAAAGTTTAATGTATAAAGAATTAGCAACTACAACAGGGGATTAGAATATTGAGGGATTGGTCAGTAAGGAGTAAAGGGTACTCTTAAAATATACAGGAATAACAGATATAAGGAACAGCCACTACTCTAGAACTGATATAGATGCCCAACGAAGACGCTTGCCTACCCTGAAGGCTGAGATCTGGACCTTGTCAGGGAGGGCACAGCCATGGCTTGTGGAATGGCAGGCACTGAATAGAATGCTGTGCCAGCGTAAGTTGCTGAAGATCTGCCCTTCAGAACTTTATGGAAATCTGCTCTCTAGAATGCCAGGGAAAACTGTTTATAGGCATGTGTCTCTCTGGAGTCTCTCCTCTATGAAATTGTCCAAAGTGGGTGCTGCTGACCACCACGCACTGGCATTGTGCGAGCCTGATGGTGCAGTTGCTGTTTACACTGAGGAGCCTGCTGAGAGAGCATGCCAGCATCAGGAAGGAAAATTCCTTCCTCCTGTGCTTCAATTGACCAAGCTGAACGTTGTACACGCTGGCAAAGGAAAATATTTAAAGGGCTCATCTCCATTTTTGCAGAACAGGCAATGGAGTATAAATTTGCAGATGAGATACAATAACTTGATAACTGGTACACCAGGTAACCTGTATTTAACAGGAATCCTGGAGGGCCATCTGGTTCAATTTCCTATCTTCCAGCAGATTGATGCCTAAGCTATCTAAGACAGATGGTTGTTAATGCTATTAATATTTAAACATGAGTTCCCTTTAAAACCTGCTTTACTCTTTAAAAACCGAAGCCAGTTAAGTCTATACGTGTTTACTAGAGAGAATTTTGGAAATACTAAAAAATTATAACAGAAAACTAAAATAAGCTATAATTCCAGAATTTAGAGAAAACTAATGCTAGTATTTTGGTCCATATTCTTCTAGACTTTTTTTTTTTTGGCTACTCATGTATTCATTTAAAACTTATTTAGCATCTATTAGGTCTAGGCACAATAGTAATTGTTAGGTGTACAGTGACAAACCTATCAAATGCCTCCTCGTCAACTGAGAATCTAGTGAAGGAATCAAATACATCTATTTATGTATATATAAATATGTATAATACATGTATCTATTTATAACACTTTTTAATAATAAAATTGGGTTCATTTTACATATGCTGATTTGGATTCAGCTTTATTCATTTAACATTATATTAAAAATATTTTCCATGTTACTATAAGTTTTTGGAAAGTGTCATTTTTTTCATGACTAAATAATTAAATTTTATCATTTAAATATGGTTTGATTTCCCTTTTTTCTATTGTTAGGCAACTTTTTAGCATTTTAAATAATACACTTTGCATTATACCCATCCCTGCATGATAGTTAACCCTGTGGATATAACCATGCTCCTGAGTTTAAATCTCATCTCCAGCATGGGCTGAGTGATTTAGAGAAAAAACACTTAACTTCTCTGACTTCAGTAAGATCATAGTACCTGCCTCATCTGGGTGTTGGGTGGATAAAATAAGTTTAATATACAGAAAGCACCTAGAACGCTGCCTGAGAACATAAGCTATTTAAGTATTAGTATTATACTCATCATCTGTTTATGTGTCTGTGTCTCCCTGAGATGTAATTGCCTTGGTGGTTTTGCCTACTATTATGTCCCTAACACATAACACAGTGTCTTGTCCATGGTACAAAATTTAATACTTATTTAATAAATTAGGTGAAAAAACCCTCATATATAAATCACATTACTAGTTGAAAGAGTATAAACATTTTTGAGGATCTTGATACTTGCTAAATTACATTTCAGAAAAGTATCAACTCATATTGTAACTACAATACATGATAAGAATGCCCTTCTTAGCCTGCTCTTAGACATTAGATATTACAACTTTTTAATGTTTTCTATTTTTTTCATAACATATTGCATTATACTGCTGCTTTAATTTGTATTTATTCAATTGCTAATGAGGTGGAACATGTTTTTCCAATTGAATACTATTCTTCAAATTGTCTATTTTCTTTCCCAATTTTCTACTAACATAAGGATGTTTTTCTTACTAATTTTTAGGAATTCCTTTTATTGTTAAGATAGTTACCATTTTTTTAATTTTTATATAGGTTAACATTTACTTCTTAATTTTCATACACTGCTTTGTGGCATTCAGCTGATCTTAATTTTTATGTAGTAAAACATATTGATTATTTTCTTTATAATTAGTTGCATGATTTTATTACTAGACATTCTCCCCCATGTAGAAGTCAGTAAACACAAGACCCATACTTCATTCAATGTTATTTGAAGTTAACTATTTAATCCATTGAAATTTATTTTACCCCCTCTAAATAGTGACTATTCTCAATATCATTTGTATAATTCATTCTTCCCATAACATGTTGATGCTTCCCCTATAAAATATCATGGTTTTTATATTTAGTAGGGTTTTTATATTCTATTAAGTTTCATAAATTTCTACATTCTACTGGTATCTACAATTTTCCAAGTGGTAAGTTTAATTCATTACATTTTCATATTTAGTAGGGTCTTTAAACTCTACTACTTTCCATGGATATCTAGACCCTACTAGTACCACAGTTTTTAACTGGTAAGTTTAACACATTCTAGTATCTTGCCGGGAAAAGTTCCTGCCTGCCCCTCACTGTGCATGTGTGTGCATGCATACACACACACACACACACACAGGCACAGAATTCTACTCCATCACACATCATCCAAACAACAAATATTATAGAATGCCCTATATGTAGTCAGGAATTGTGTCAGATGACATGAATAGAACAACAGGTAAAACTGACATAGTCCCATCCCTTATGGAGCTAAAAGAATGTGGAGGTAGAACTAAACAAACAAGCAGGGAATTCTACTACAGATAGGCTATCCTAGGGCAAGTAGAGTATGCTATGAGCAGCCACTGGTACAGCCATGGGGGAGAAAGAAAAGCTTGCCACAGAAGATGAAATGAAACTAAAATCTAAAGTGTGTGAGATATAAAGAGAAATTGGCCAGGCAGAAACATCAAGACAATAATGAAATAAAGAAATTGATCTCTCTACCCCATTGTTCTTTTCAAAATTCTTTTAAATATATTTCATCCATTTATTCATTCAAGTTGCTCTAATGATCCAGTATCTCATTTGGTTTGGAAGCTCGGGATGAAATATTGCTCTGTTATCCAACTTTATGCATTTCCTCTATAATTCAGGCACTTGATACAAACTAGTCTACTACTTTTATATCTGGTATCTACCCTTAATGTACATGTTAGCTCCCATTTTCCTACCTTTCTCTCTTGTTATATTTAGTAGGATATTTTATTATTTAAGTAGATAGTTTCATACTCATTATTCTCCAGGGTTCATTGCTTACTACCTATGTGGCTTGAATAAAACCATAAATAATTACTTTCTAAAAAGATTGAAAGAAATATTTGTAGTTAAGTGTGCCAAGAGCATAAAAAATACAGCTTATAAAAATAATACAATTATTCTTTCTATAGGAGTGCTGAGGCTTATGAAAATAGTTTCTTATTGTTAAAAAAGATATAAAAAATGTTCCTTTAAATGAATGATTTCCATATATAATCAGCTTAACAATATCTTTAAAAATTGTGTTCATTTACATAGGTACCACTCACCTCGTGTAACGGGGAATGCAAAATATGATGTCATTAACCCATTTTGACCAAATATGCCTAAAGAAAACTAATGCTTCAAGTATCGATCAACATTTAACAGTATTTTTAATCTTTATATATTTATTTCAGGCAGGATACTAGTTAATTTAGTGTAAACCACGTTTAATTATTTCTGTTTATTTTATATATCCTGATAGTAATATAAATACCAATTACACTTTTTACAGTCTTGTTTCTCTATTCTTTCCATGGTTTTGGTAAAGTGTTAATAGTATTTCATTACATGTTTTCACTTGCAGGGCTTGCTGTAGAATACAGCTCAGTTTAAACAGTCAATTAATTTTAGCAGAACTGAAATTGAATGATGAAATATTTCTAGGCTGAGAAGAAAACTACAGTAAACTCTTAGCTTTTCTACTTTGAATTGGAATTTTTGCTCTTTTTCACTTCTCAGAGAATACCTAATCCCGACTAAATAATTAACTGACTGGCAGCAAAATGCATTAATTGTGGAGAACAGTAAGCTGGGTTTGACATCCATCTTTGTCACTAACAGAATCTCATCATGGCAAGAGTCACTTAATGTCTTCAGGTCACACTATTTTATTATTTGTGAAATGAATTAATAGGATTACAGACTCTTCAAAGTCCTTACTACCTCTAAAATGTTAAAATTCTGACTCTACCTTGTACATAAAAAGAACCAGTAATTCCAGTGTGAGTGCAGGGGTTTCTAAAGGCCAAATATCGAATACTAAATAATATACTATACATAATTGCATGATTTGTTCACAACTATTCATCCCCTCCCTCATCACAGCTTCTCTGTGGACAAAGTATATTCCCTGACCACTGATTTTGGGCTGGTCCCTGTGATTTGCTTTGACTTATGAAATATTGTGAAAGAGACAGTGTGGTAATCCCAAGAAAGGCTTTAAGAAGTGCTACATGCTTCTCATCACTTTCTTAAGATTATGTCCTCTTTCATAAGCACAGCATGTACAAAATAGTGGTTTTCTTGAGCCTGGGTCTCTCAATGAAAAGATGTGTGGAATAGAACAACTGACCCACGCCAAGCTGAACCTAGTCTGAGCCACTTGCAAACTTGTGGGCAAGAAATAAATCTTTGTTGTTGTAAGCCATTAAGATTTTGCGGTTTACTGGAGATCATTCTGTTAAGTGAAACACGCCAGGCACATAAAAACAAACACACATTCTCACTTATTTGTGGGATCTAAAAATTAAAACAATTGAACTCATGCATATAAAGACTAGAAGGATGGTTACCAGAGGCTGGGAAGGGTAGCTGGGGGACTGCGGGGAGGTGGGGATGGTTAATGGGTACAAAAAATAATAGAAAGTATGAAGAAGACCTACTATTTGACAGCACAGCAGGGTGACTATAGGGTGACTACAGTCAACAACAACTTAATTGTGCATTTAAAAATAACTAAAAGAGTGTAATTGGATTGTTTGTACACAAAGAATAAATGCTTGAAGGGATGGATACCTCATTCTTTATGATGTAATTATTTCCCATTGCATGACTGTATCAAAGCATCACATGTACCCCCATAAATAATATATACCTACTATGTAACCACAAACATTAAAAATAAAAAAAATTAAAATATTTTGTGGTTTGTCATCACAGAAAAAGTTGACGAATCAAGTACTAGGTGTACTTTTTAGAAAACTGATAAAAACAAACTATTTTTGAAAGTCTCATTTCAAACGCTTTATTAAGTAACTCCTTATTATCAGGGCTTTTGTTCCTTCCTTGATGCCTGGTATTGTACTGTATCACCTAAATTAAACATAGGAAAGAAGAGAAGGAAAAGTATGTTGAATGGGAAGTTAATAATGTGTCTCTAAAGCTATTTCTCAGAATTAGTAAGTGTTCAGAGTACAAACAGATGAGAAGTTTGGAGTCAACCTTCTAGCAGTGTTGTCAATATATCATCAATATGATATGGTTAATAAACTAGCTTTAATATGATTCAGTGAATCTTGTCTGTTTCTTTAAATTTGAATATCTATATGGCATTTTCAAATTGATTGAATAAATGTATTATTAAAACCTCTAAAATCACATAATCATTGGGATAACTCGTGATTTGTTTACACTTTGTAATAGCACACTGGGGGTGGGGGAAATGATGAACATTTGACCACATTTAATTTCAAAGGAAAAATTTGAATATATTTTCTGTTCGCATTTCCTTAACATTCACATAAGTAATTAAGATGACTAAATACTTATATCAGTACATGAAAGCATCTATGGAAATTCCAAATGCCAGGAAGAAAGTGAAGCAAAACATATATGCCATGTAGGAAGATAATTATACATTTTAAAAGTACATTATCAATCCAAAATAATTATGAAGAAAATCCTAATAATCGACTTCATTGTAGACAATATCCTAACACATCATAAGGACATTGCACAGCTTAGTGAAATGAGATAGCATATTGCTAAAATCTATTGGTGTCTTAAAAAGTGGAGGGGATTTTATGACAACTATAACCTTAGCAATTTTATCTATACCTATAAAATAACTTGATATAATAAAACCTTATACTCACCGCCAACATTAGACGAGTTAAAATTTCCTGTCAGTCTGCTGAGAGACTTCATTATACATTATCTTTACATATATTATCTCATATCCAATCTTCATAAGAAAGATCCTACGAGAGGGGTTCTGTCATTGTCCTTACTTTATAGATAAGGCAACTGAGGTTTAGAAACATAAAATACATTGCCCAAACTAAGTGGCTAAAGGTCAGAAAATATGACTTAAGAATTTAAATTCTTCATGTTAAAGTGTGCCTAATAAATGGAAGAGATGAAAAAGTCCTTCAGGTCATAAGCTTAATTTGAAGATATTAAATGTCTGTCATATCCAAAGTTACATAGATGGAAGCAGAAATTAAACAAGAACTTGAATTTTTTATTACGGTATCTTAACACATTTTACTATATATTTATAAAAATATCTGCTATAAAGTTCTTGAAATTTTATTTCCAAGCATGTATTTTACCTGCAAAGTTTCAGGGTGATTTTTATAGTCCCATATCTTAATAAACGCAGTCAAGTTATCTGCTAATTTTTACATTTTCTCCTCTGAAGACAGCTCAACAACCTCTAAAAGATACATTTTATCCCAGTAGGGGGTCTAGGAGCATGGAAATAATTAAGTTTTAAAATGTCTTTGTTATTTTATTCATATTTGATGACTTAATTAAGGGAATTATGAGATAAATACCCAAAGCAAGTTGATCTTAAGAGTAAATAATTATTATTTCCACTAGGGTCGAATTGCACATCTCAGTGATGTTTAAAAATTATTGTAACATGGAGGATGGTTATAGATATCCTATTAAATTGTCAAACATATTGCAAAGATTAGGCAAATTTTTTTCATTACCTCATTATGGTTAATGCAGATAAAAGACTCCTTCCTCTACTTAGCCTATAAAAAAATGCTTAGAAACTAAATGTTTAGAAGACTTCACAAATTCCACTTTTAGTAAAAAAGACAAGTGATAGAATAGGAAGGTAAAACTTAAAGGAGAAACTAGAAACTAGGCAGTAAAGGAAGGGAGAAATTATAGAAGAAATTATTTCCCTTAATAACAAATATTTCAATAAAATGTATTTAGTAAAATCTTTAACAGACTTGTTCATTATTTTACCATTGACTTAAGTAAAAAAGCAGATGAAATGCTATGATTAACAAATGACATGATGCCAAAGGAAATAAATAATACAGCGTATAAGTGATACAGGCTACCAAGAAATTTAATAAGGTGAAATTTAGAAGTAATAAAGACAACATTTTGCATTGAGATGAAAAATAGTCAGCATTCCAGCAGAGGCAGATTTACCACACAGGTCATGAAGCTTAAGCTTCAGGACCCTTGATTTACACCAACACCTTTCAGAGCCTGTACCTAATGTATATATGATAATCCTATTATTAAAGGGGACCTCTAAAATTATATAAGCTTCCGACCTCCAAAAACCTGACTATGCCTTTAAGTTTTAATTCCAATAGGATAATACAAACTATTTAACTCTGAATCCAACAAACCTTTATGCAACAAACCTTTCAGATCAAACAAGGACAAATAAAATCACCATAACCCATACCAGAGCATATCTTAGAGACAGAAGCCAACTTACATGTAAACGGGAGATATATTCATTTGAGACCACCAAAGTTGGCTCCAGAGCCCTTACCTTAGTGAGATGGAGGGGACTTGTATATATAAGAGGAAAACTAGGCATGTTTCCAAATAGATACAATTAGCCTCCCTCTCACCAAGGGGAGGGCTCTGAAGCCAGCTTTGGAGGTCTTAAATGAATATCTCTCCCACTTACATGTAAATTGACTTCTGTCTCCAAGAATGCCCCCAAAAGGAGAGAGTCCAATCAGTACCACCCTTAAAGTTTGTAAGATCCTGGGCAAATATTTTATTTTTTGCAGGACTCCTGTCTATATAAACAGTTTGATTAAAGATGTACTGCAAATTCATGGACTCATGCAAAGTACAGTGATTTATTAATGAAGAGTTAGAATAATGAGTAGACAAGCAGTATATATATATTTGTTTATTGTACATGTTTATTGTACAATCAGTGCACATGAAGATTCTTTGTAGTGTCTGATTACTGCCTATTTCTGTTCAGATCCAGAAACCATACCTTCATGTTCCCTATTGTCATATGTCCCATGCCTAACTACTTCCGCATCTCCCATCTGAGAAAAATGTAGCAATGCTATTATTGTTACTGCCATAGCTCTTTGGAAACTGTGTGTATTTAAGCAACACAGACCATTTTGTACCTGTAGTTCTCTAATATCATTTACTTAATGCTGTACATAATTACTCATGACACTGCATCATCTATCATGCACCCTGTGGATTCTGACTTCGGTGACTCTCTTGAAGGTTGTTATGGCATTGATGGTCATGAACGCAAGTCATTCCCAGAGTATTTCAGATAATGTGAATGATGGTTTGTTTTCTGGTCATGTTTTTACTGATGGTAGTTTTATATCATAAACTTATCTTCCAACCATGTGTTTCCTCAACTATTTAGATCAAAACCACTGCATTACTGATTGCATTGCTGACTGCTTTTGATTATTGCTATACTCCCACCTTCCACAAACTGCCACCAATGAGGAAGATAGACAAGGGTCCTAGGGGCAGTGAGAGAAGAGACTTTCTATTTCTGTAAATGAATGTCCATTGTTCATTCAGCATGGCTTAGAATTGGTCCCCCCACCCCAAAGAACACAATATCACTGCATCAATTGTAGAATACTGATTGAAAGGATCCACTGGCCATGCTGAGCAACAATCTAGAAGAGTCTTACCGGAAAACAGAATGATCATTCCCAGAGGACTGCTTGACATGTGGCATGGAGCCTGCAGAGGGATTGGGGTAAGCATCTTGGGTGCCAGTGGCTGGGAGTACATTGGGTTGAGGATACCTCCTGCAGCTCCTGCCGCCCACAAGGGCTGCCCACATGGGCAGACACACACCAGTGAGCATTAACACAGAGGCCCAAAGCTCAAGCCCAAAGGTCAGTGACAAATAGTTGGTAGCCCAGAGCTCTGAAACTCATCCTATGTCAGACATTGAGTCACCCAAGTACATATATCAGCACAATCTGATAGACCAATTTCATGTGATCCCACAAAAGAAATACTGTGGTAGCCAGCAGGAGGGATCCACTAGCCAGGCTGCTCTCCTGAAATCAAGGCTGGCCATGGGTCCTGGGACAACTCAGAAGGGTGTGAGCCCCAGAGTTCTTACAGGTCAGGTGGATGATTCCGGGTATAGAGAGTGGAGAGTTGTAGAGTGCCTCAAAGGTAAGAAATAGGAACCCGGGCCCATATGGATGGATCAGGGCCCTTAAGGCACAGGGCCTGAGGCAAAAACTACACTTCCCTGGGCCTAAGGGTGGTTCTGGGTCCAATTCTAAATGAGAAAGTATTCAGAACAGGTCTGATCCCTGGGGATCAGAGTGCTGAATGCTGGGGAGTCAGAAGCAACTTAGCGGGCAAGACCAGAAGTGGCGGTCTCTATCAGGTACCTCTTCTGATGGAGAAGGGGGCACTCTAAATATTAATAGTACAAGAGTTCCTTGGAGGTTTGATTACAAAGGAGAAGAAAGAAGTTGCTTAAAATAGGGTCGTACTGAAACAAAATTGTATAAAAAAATAAGAAAAGAAAGAGAATAATAAAAATCAACAAATGAAAAAATAAACAATTTTTTACATCCTTTACATGTCAACAGAAGTAGCCCTTGGACTAAGAAAATCAGCGTCACTGGACCTGGATCTATTTGCCCTAAGAGCTCATCTTTTCTCTTCTTCTGTTCTCTGTATTACAGGGGGCAGCCCCCTCTGGACTGTGTTTCTCTAGACTCCCAAATCAGCCGGGCTCTGGGTGGGCTTGAACAGCCATTTAGAAGCACTTGTGCAAGACTGGAAGGTGTTAGGAAGGGAGAAGTCAGGGGTATTTCTCTCCCTTTCTTTCTGCCTTGGGAAGTATCTCCATTGATGACTGTCCCTTTTTTATGGTTCCATTATTTCCTTGGTTTTCTTGGTTCCCGGGCTCTGATAACCACCATTTCCTTTTGTCTCTCAGCCTCAGGACACTAATGGCTTCTTGCTTTTGCTAGCCTGTAGGTCACCTCGCTGCCCCCAGTATGGCTCCTCTATTATTTCATCATCTGTGTAACTAACTCTCTGCTTTATATCCCTGTGTTGTAAACCTCTATAATTAAAACAGTGTGGTATTGGCCCATGAATAGACAGAAGGATGATGAAACAAATAGAAAGTCCAGAAATAGACCCAGGTATATATAGAAATTGGGTATATGACAAAGTTGGCATCTCAAATCGCTGGGAGGAAAGATGATCTTTAGAATAAGTGATATTGGTTCAGCTTGATAGACATTTGGAAAAAGTAAAAAAAATTGAATTCTATCTTATACATTATCTCAAGATTAATTTTACATAAATGTAAAAAATAAAACCATATAAGATCTAGAGGAAAACACAGTGAAATCCCTTATATCCTAAGAGTGAGGGAGCCTTTCTAACTATGACTCAAAATACGGAAGCAATAATGGAAAAGATTGAGAAATTCAACTACTTAAAAAAAAGAAATGGCCAAAAAAAATCATCATAAACAAAATCAGAGGACAAATCACAAACCAGATGAAAATATTGCAACTTATATCACAGGAGAAGGTCTAATCCAGTGTTTCTAAAGCTCAGCACTACTGACATTTGGGGATGGATAATTCTTTGTTATGGGGGCTGTTTTCTGCACTGCAGGGCATTCGGCAGTACTTTTGGCCTCTACCTACTAAATGCCAATAGCACCCCTTTCCCAGGTGTGACAACCAAAAATACTTCCAGACATTGCCAAAAAACGTGGGGAGAGGAGTGAGGAGGGAGGCAAAATCATCCCCAGCTGGGGACCACTAGTCTGTTCTAATATATAAAAAGATCTTAAAATAGTGAAGGAAAAATTCAAAATCCGAATAGAAAATTGGGCAAAAGACGTGGGCATTTCATAAAAAGAAGAGAAATGGCCCCTGAGCACCTAAAAGATTGCTTAATCTCACTCATACTAAGAAAAATGCAAATGAATGCTATTCTGAGAGATTTCTTACCTAGCAGATTGGCACACATCCAAACATTTGAAAGAAGTCTGTGAGCTACACATTACTGATGGAAGTGCAAAATGGCAAAAGCTCTTTGAAAGAGAATTAATCGGTATTTTAAAAAATTATATTCAGATTTTCTTTTGACCTAGGAACCCCACTTCTATGAATATTCCCCAAGAGAGAGAGTTCCAGGAGAACAAACCAACATATGTACAAGGTTACTTACTGCTGTAAAAGGCTGCAAGTAATTCAGATTTCCATCAATAGCAATAATGGAATAAACAATGACATACTACCCAATGAAATACCATAATGCAGACCTTAAAGGAAGTGAAGACTGTCTTTATGTATTGATAAGAAGTAATGGTCAGAATGTATTAAGTGGAAAATTCAAGGTTCAGAGCAGAGTATGTGTGTGTGCTTGTGTGTGTGTGTGTGTGTGTTGTAAAAAGAAAATTCTTAAAAATGATAACATAGCGGATGAATGGGAGGAATAAAGTAGGGAATAGATGGAAAGAAGAATTTTCTGAGTACACCTTTTTATATAATTTTGACATCTGAACTATGTAAATGCCTTATATAATTTTACAAATGAAAATAGAAAAGTTAAATCCTAAAATTAAAAGGAAACCAGAATAAATAAGCCTAACTCTATTTTAAATTAGTAATACGACTCGGAGAGAAAATTATTTCAAGTGACTTTTGGCAAAGCATTCTGATTATATTTTTATGACTACAATTTTAGGATATACTGTAAGCACAAAAAGTGATTCAAATAAATTTTAAATTTCACTCAATAGTTTTGTTGTATTGGGGACACATGAATGTAAAGATGGGAACAACAGATACTCGAGACTACTAGAGGAGGAGGGTGGAAGGGGGCAAAGGTTGAATAACTACCCACTGGATACTATGTTCACGACCTAGGTGACAGGATCAATCATATCCCAATCCTGAGCATTATGCAATATAGCCATGTAACAAACCTGCACATGTACCCCATGAATCTAATATAAAAGTTAAAATTTAGAAAAAAATAAAATAATTAAAAAGTATTTAAAAATAGTTTTGTTCTCATTAGAACCTACTTTATATGCTAGGATAAAACAAACATGAATGTCTTAGAAACTAAGATTTTCATTATAAAAGAAAAGAGACAATATAAGATCAAAGTTAGAAACTTATAATATTAAAATTTAATCAAAATCCTTCATATGCAGTAAGTATTATATATGCATTATAGATGTATAAAATATATGCGTATTTTTTCTTGCACTATCTGTTGTCATTTATTGTAAAACACTGAACATATAAAAATTCACAATTTTACAGTGGTTGAGAAAAGAAAACGGAAAAGAAAAAAGAATAAGATGAAGAGAGTGATAGAGAGACACACGACTATCAAAGCTCACTAATAAACCAACTTTTCACTCTAAAATTTGACAATTAAAAAAATAATTCAGAATATCGCACCTTTTTGGGAAAAGCTGTCGCCAATACCCATTTTATTTTGGAAAGCTCTTTATAAGAGATTAACAGCCAATAAACGTAGAAGGAATAATATTATTAGAGAATCAGAATTTTGCAATCCCAATGAAACCACTGTTCCCATCAAGGATCATCAAAGAATGATAAACCCTTACGTGAAAGTTCACTGGGGAATACCTGATGTCATTCCCAACAGTTCATTTACCCCACAGTTTACTTGCTAATTGCAAAGGGCAAACAGACCTTGCAATGAAGTGATCTAGTAGTAACCACCCTAAAAGTGATAAAATTTAGCATGACCAATAGAGCGAAGCCTGATATTTTATGCTTCCTAATGTGATGCAATATAAGGTACTCAGAATCACCTATGAAGTACCATACTCTTGCCAAATGCTTAAGCTAGATGTGCCCAAGACTTTGGACCTAATATCCAGGTTATAAAAAGTACAGGTATAAAAGGACAAGTTAAACAATCAGACAAATATAGAATGTGATATATTTTACAAGACAATTGTCATCATCTCAACAAAAAGTCAGTATCACAAAAATAAATGTTGGTGGACTGTTCTAGACTTAAAGAAACTTGAGTGATGTAACAATCAAATTAAATAAGTGAACTCTGGATCCTGGTTTGAAAAAGCAGCTGCAAGGTCATTTTGGGGAAAATTGGATAAATTAGATAGACAGATGCTAGATGAAATAGGCTGATTAGATATCACTTGATTAAGAAATTATAATTTTCTCAGTGTGCAAGGTATTACGGTTAAGAGAATGCTCTTTTCTATATGTATACTGAAATATTTAGGAGTAACATTATCTCCAGAATTTATTTTCAAATTTTTCAGCAAGCAAGATAGAAAGATAGATAAATAGACAGATAGATAAATGGATAGAAAGATAGATAGATAGATAGATAGATAGATAGATAGATAGATAGATGGACGGACGGACAGACGGACGGACGGACAGACGGACGGATAGACAGACAGACAGAGACAGATAGATAGATAGATAGATAGATAGATAGATAGATAGATAGATAAAATATGGCAAATGTTAACTCTTGAATGTAGGTTGTTGGGTGATGGGCATACGTTAATTACACTGTTCTTTCAACTTGACTGTTTGAAAATTTTAGTTAAAAAATGTGGTGAAGAACATTGTACAAATATAGGATGAGATACGATAGAACATAAAGAAGACCCTTATAAGTGTGTAGGAGATTAGTGGGGCATGATTGTTATTCTTAGATTACTTAAGGAGGCACAAAAAATTAGTCTTCAGCAGCTAACGGCATAGATATGATAGGGTTGCACTAGATCCACCTTCTAGGGCCAAAAAGGCACTGGTGGAGCTGTCTCAGCTGTCAGTGCTAACAACAAAGTTGATTAGACAAAGATCTATGGATCTAGAGTGCTTGGCCATGACTTAAAAAATAGAGAGCATTTAGGGGAAATATTGGCAGGGATAGCCTGCCTCAGCTATTATTGTTATGGCTTATGGAACATGATGATGGGTACAGCACCAAGAAATCCTGTCATCATGGACCTACAAACAGTAAGGATTTAGGCTGAGTTTTAGCAAAGGGAATAAAGAAAGCAGCTAGAAACCCAAGAAGGCCAGTGGATCCAGATGAGTTACTAGAATCTCTTTAAAAGACAGGCAACAGACACACAGACATGCAATGAATTCAATAAAAATTATATAGTCACAGCACATTTTCCCAGTCTCAGGAGGTTTTTGCCCTCTGGATGGAAGGTAATTGTTTGTTAATAAGTACCTGGCTTCACTACACATACACTAGTTTCAGGGTGAAATATTACTTTAATTAACTAGTTGAAATTTCACAGGTCTAGAATTTAATTACCTGTTGGAACTGTAGCTAAGATATCATGGTCTCATAAAATTTTACTGCCTTTTAAAAATGACCATAATTTATCAGAATCTTGGGGGAAATTGTGCATTGTGCATGAAAACAACAAACATTGGAATATAGTTAGTCCTAAGATTGAAGAAGAGACTTACAAGTACTTCGATGCACTCTACTGAAGTTCAGATGAGAGGACAGATTCTGTTTCAGTGACAAAGACAAACTGGGTTTCATATTCACTGTTGTCTTCACCTTCTGCTATAGAGTTTCTGGGTTTTTTGTTTGTTTTTGTTTCTGTTTTGTTTTTTTTTCTTGCTAGGCTCCCTCAAATCATGGGACAGTTTCTGGTTTTGGACCCCAAGGAAAATCTGAAGGTAGATGAAGTTGTCCTTTGTCAAACTACCCCTGCTTTTTTTGTGTGTGTGTTAGCTCACTTTGTATGGCATTTAGAGCCTGTATGTCCTAATCTATTTCTTCATTATGCAAAGCATTGAATAGTTTCCCAGATTCTAATTGTCCTTGTCTAGGTAGCATGTGTACCAGGGTATTATATTTTACTGTATGTTGTCTCTACACATGCCGCACCAGATTAGGCTCCCAGGAAGCCCTAAACTCTTGGTGATAGTTTGATGGAGGAAGGAGAGTAGGATGAAGCCTTTCCTAGTCCCTGAGCTTTAGTGATCTCTGTAAACGCACAATTTAAGAGATAAGACATGTGAGAAGAAGGGTAGGATTAAAGATCTGATGAATTAGTTGCTAATCTATTTCTTAGGCAAGTAAATTTATCCCTCTTGGTATGTGTCAACTTGTCTAGGTCACAGTACCCAGTATACACATGTGCACACACACACACACACATATACATACTGAGAGAGAGAGAGAGAATTTACTGGTTTTGTATCTCTGAAAAAGCCTAATACAATGTACTCCCTCATCTGTGAGAACCTTCCAAATTCTTCAGTTTTACAATTTCATATCTAAAGAACAGGTCTTTGTTGCTAAATTACTGCCTGAAAATAGTTAAGCTCTAATTATTAAGGAAAAAAACATTCCTGTGAAAAATATTTTCTTTCCACTTATAATGCAAAGGTAAACTTCACCAGTATATAATAAGAATAAATTATTAATAAATGGCACCTGTACTAATAATAATGCTTTACTATTTGTTAAAATATTCCATAGTACTGAAGACATTTAACTACGTTAGTAAATGACCCAAACTAACACTATTATTATTTCTTTAAAATTGGTGACACAGAGGGATGACTAGGCAAAGCATAGAGGATTTTCAGGGCAGTGAAATATTCTATATGATACCACAATGATGGATACATGTCTACTTACATATTTGTGTAAACCCATAGAATGTACAACACCAAGAGTGAACTCTACTGTAACTATGGAGTTTGGGTAATAATGGTGTGTTAATGTAGGTTCATCATTTGCAACACATGTACCACTCTAGTGGGGGATGTTCATGATGGGGGAGGCTGTGCACTTGTGGGGAGTAGGGAAATATGGGAAATCTCTGTACCTTCCACTCAATTTTGCTGTGAACCTAAAAAGAAAAAATATGTCTTAAAAAAAAAACTAATGACCCAAGTGTGAATAAAACATGGATTACATAGAACTTAAGGGTTTAAAATCAACTTGCACCATACTGAAACCACTTAGGGTTCTTATCATGCTGTGTTTCTTATGATTCGTTTGTAATTAGTCAGAATATACTGCAGCTGTTTGTGATTTCAGGGAAGAATAAGATGTTTATAAAGAGAAAATGTTCCATTATCTCTGCTTTTTAAAATTCCTTTCTTTGTAAATGATATTTTATGATATGTTTTCCATCCTCATTTCAAATCCTAAACAAGACTGTTAAATAGGGGTTTGTCATACATAGAAAAATTGCTACATATTAGCTTCTTTCCCCACTTCCTCCCCTAGTTTTATACATCCATACACACACTCACGCACATTATTTTTATATGCGACAATTTCTGGCTCTGCATAAAATGTTACTGCAAAAGTACACTGTGTCAAGTTTTTTCAGCTGCTTACATTCCTACTCTGGTACCAGTGCCAGGGTTTCAGGGCACTACAATTTCCTTTATATCTCAGTGGTTATTTTGAAATTATCATGTCTCATCTGCACTCCCTCATAATGTATGCCTTCCATGTCATATTAAGCTGCACTCTTTTCCCTGCCTTAATTCCCTAATTTCTGGAATGATATTGGAATTGGTTATGATTAAAACAGCAAGGGTCTATATTAAAAGCAAGTATCTTCCTCATAGATAGATCATGAAAGTTTGAGGTACCATGAAATATGATGTGAAAATCACCTTCTTCAAATATCCAAGAAGATCACTAGTAAATTTCAAGTGTAGGTTCATTTTTACATATATCTTACTTACCCCTGGAGTTCCATAGCAGAGGTGGTAGTGAACTTGACCACTAGTGAGAAATAAGAGGAACTATGGGGTAATTGTTCCCAAGGAAAGGGCAGGAATAGGCCATTATGTGCATGTAACTGTAAAGAGTCAGTAGATGCATCAAGAGGTATCGTATGACAATTGGAAGATACAGAAATAAATTCCCAGGGTTTCAAGATAATTGGGAGAGGAAAAAAGGAAAGACAGTGTGGTGGACATCTTTTGTTTTTGCTTGACTAGAATCCTCCTTCATTAGTAACAGCATCTGAGAAACTATCCCTTCCCTATTAGACGGGTAAGAGTCTCAGTTGCAATGGCCCATCCTCCCCTGACCAAGAATGTAGATTTGGTCCAATACAGGCAAGTCAGACACTTCATGGGATATGAATCTTTAACTGAACAACACAAAGGCTGAAATTTTTTCCAGCTGATTTATCTCAATGATGGTGTTTTAAAGAGACTTTTTCATTAGTTTCTTCTCCCTAGATATCCCTAGTTGCTCCAGTTACTGCTCTTTTTGAATACTTGTTTCATTTTTTGTTTTTTTTTTAAATCCTGCTTACATTAGTTGCATGCAATCTTACAAGCTTAACTGACAAATCATTACCAACAAATTAGATTTCTTTAGTGACTTGGCGAAAGTGAGAAAGAAAACTACCTTTGAGAAAGGGTGGACTGGATTAAAGAATGAAAACTTTCAGCCAAATAGTAGAGAACTTTGCCTAAGAATGACTTAGAACTTTGGTCCACTTCAAGGAAAGGAAACTAAGCCAGAATGTAAATCAATGCATTGCTTCTTTCATTGAGAAAGTCATGTAACAAAAAAAACACCAGCTGAACTAACCTGGATGCTTAGTGATGTATTTGGATTTACACCATGCTGCCAGTTCCTTACAATTTCAGTCTCAGTAACCCTGATCTAGCTTAGGTTGTTTTAATCCAAAGAATGTGCTGATTGAGACTTTTTATTGGAATAACTAGAATTTGACACATGATTTCCAGAAGTATAGAGGTTCCCAGAAAATACATAAATGAATGGAAAGAATAGTACAGCAGGCCCTTGAATAATGTTGTTTCATTCAAATGTCATTTCATTATAATGTTGGTGAGGAAAAAAAAATCTATTCCCAGTTAGAGCCACTGTCTGTGTGGAGTTTGCAGGTTTTCCCCGTGTCTGGATGGATTTTCTCTGGGTATTCTGGTTTCCTCCCACATCCCAGAGATGCACATGTTAGGTGAACTGGTGTGTCTACAGGGTCCCAGGCTGAGTGAGTGTAGGTGTTAATATGAGTGTACCCCGTGAAGGGACAGCATCCTGTCCAGGGTGCATTCCCATCTTGTACCCTGAGCTGCAAAGATAGGCTCCGAAATAATAGAGTAAATAATTGTCTGGCTTGTTTTTATTAATCTTAAATGTATGTATAGTTCACATTTATTTCAATGTTTAATATGGGAAGTGTTTTGGTCTTTATTCAGAAGTTTGGTGATGTTTTAGTAACCAGAAATATGCCATAGAAGCTACAATTTTCTAGCTGAACAAATTACAGCAATATAAGCTTTCTTATGGTTATCTTAAAAGATCTTATGGTTATCTAAAAGATCTTAAATCACACATCTTCTTTGTGTTTCTGGTATGCCAAGTTTTGTTGTTTATGGGTTTCAATGTGAATTTGTTTACTTATTTATTTTATTTTTTTACCTAAGATCCAGGAACTATAGATCAATGTAAATTAAATAAAAAATTGACTTGGATTCTTGTCCTTGATTAAACTGCAATTCATGTGTTTTTGAATTTTTAAAAGTAAATTTTCTGTTGTAAAGTAATAATGACGGCTACCTCCCAATGGGACACATTCTGTTTTCTAGAGTCAATGAATTCAAGTCCACTTGGAGTCTATGAGTTTGGATCACCTTATCTTAAAGGCTACTTGGTGAACAGAGTTGAAGTTTTAAGATAATCCGTTAGTTGAGTTAAAAAAGCACTTGGGTATATCAGGGCTTCTTAACTTCAGCACTACTGACATCCTAGAGCTAGATAATTCTTTGCTGTGGACAGTTCTGTACATTGTAGGATGTTTTCAGCAGCCCTGGTCTGTATCCCTAGATGCCAGTAGCAATCTTCCTTAATTGCCCAATATGCCCTGGGAGGAAGGGGTAAAATCACCCCAAGTTGAGAACCACTGGTGTATATCATTGCTATAAGGGCATTGGTTTTTAAACCTGACAAAGCTGAGCTCACCTCTCAGGTCTGTCCCTTTCTTACGTTGATTTGGGAAAGTTACTATTTTCCTTGTCTGAGAAATGTTGATATCTCCTGGGAATTCTTGAAGAGATTAGAAAATGTACTTAGCTTCATGACTCACCTATAGTAAAAACTCAACAAAGTAATCATTGTTAGTAATAGTATCATAATTCCTAAATCCTAAATACAGATTTTCTGATCTAAATGTGCAAATAATAACTAATCAAATTTCCAACTGTGTTATTTGACAAAGGTATAATGAACTAAAACTCTAAGACATGTTAAAAAAAAAACCCTAAATACAATAATTTCTAAATGGGACAAAGGCTTTATAGCTAACTCTTTGAACTTGAAACTATTTTCAGAAAAATGACTGGAGTAATGTTGCTTTCCATACATAACTGTTGAGGAAATGTACTAACACAGACGAGATCAAACTGAAAAAGAATTATATGTCCAATGTTCTAGTCCTAGAAAGAATACACACACTTCCTCTCTCTTCCTCTAAATCCATAGATGTTAGCAGTGAAAGATACTAAGAAAATGAAGAACTAGAACGTGGAATATTGTCACATGGAACTAACATAAGAAGTAAAATGTAAATGAAGGAATTTTATACATGTGCATTTCAAATGATCTCGACCACAAAATCAGAGAAATGACAGACGAATACATGAATTATCAAACCATTCGCTGTTCAAAAATAAACTTCTGAACTTTAGTGTTTGCTTAATGGAAAGTTCTTTCTTTTCTTTACTCAGTTATGACCTCAGACATGCATCAGAACTCAATGCATATGATAAAACATTATCATGCCAACTCTGTGGATACGAAAAAAAATGCATGAGTGGAGTGACATTTAAAATGCTGATTTAAATTCCTTAGCATAAATTTCAACCATCTGGGAATTTTATTTGCTTTCCTCTTGGATCCTGTTGCACACTCAGGTGAGCATAGCTGTTATCCATAAACGAACAGTTGTTTTGAAGGGGCAGTTGTACAGTCTCTTTAATACCAAGTTCACTTTATCTGGGGTGTTCAGATAGTGCTTTCATTTTCAGGTTTGTGGAAAGGTGAAGAGACAAAAAGCTCAAATGCTTTGTTAGGAAATGCTGCTGAGGAAAGGAATCCTGATTATTGCTTTGAACTTCAAAGTATATCAGTAACAGGGTCTCTTAAAAGGAAGTCTCTTGAGAGTTCAGATTACAGTGAATAATCTTAGAAATGTTCCTGATGAAATTAAATTGCATGGTTCAAGTAATGGGCTACTCTCCCATATGAGCCTTGCCATGATTAAAACTGCTTTAACACTAAATCGCACATGGATGCCTTGTAAATACAAGATATTTAACAAATATTTCTCTTGATGACAGTCTCATCTCACCTCATTTCAGCAAATTAAAGTAAGTTGCCACGGCTTTAAAGAAGTCACACAGCTAGTTAATTGCACCGTTTGTCCAGGAAACTCATTCTCCTGAATCAATCCCAGTACAGCTCTGGGTTGGATTGATTAAATCATGGATACATTGATTGTTTTAATGAAAAAAGTTTACATGTTCATTTAATCTAAGACAACCTGCACCTTACACACACACACACACACCCCACCCACACACCTATCTTTTTTTTTTTTGAGATGGAGTCTCGCTCTGTCGCCAGGCTGAAGTGCCGTGGTGCGATCTTGGCCCACTGCAACTTCCGCCTCCCAGGTTCAAGCGATTCTCCTGCCTCAGCCTCCCAAGTAGCTGGGACTACAGTCGCGCGTGACCAGGCCCAGCTAATTTTTGTATTTTTAGGAGAGACGGGGTTTCACCATGTTGGCCAGGATGGTCTCTATCTCTTGACCTCGTGATCTGCCCGCCTCAGCCTCCCAAAGTGGTGGATTATGGGTGTGAGCCTGAGTTAACTAAAATGTTGAAAAGTTAAGGGAATTGGTCATTATTCTTCAGCATATCATTCTTGAACAAAATGCGGTTTCTATTATACTCTGGCTTTTGTGGGGCTAGCAGTATCTGAAGAAACACTGCAGAAAACATTGTAGACAGTTTTATTTCCTAGGAACATCAGTAAGATTTCCACAATATAAAAACTTAAAAAAATATTCAGAGCAAAAATAATTAAACTACCATAAAAGTGTTCTTTGCCAACGAATTGTGACTAGTACAAAGCATTCAGTCATAATAAATCTTTTAAGCTTTTCAAAAGCAACTCCAGAAGCTAAGTTTCAAAATTTGTTTAGACAAAAGCAAATTTTTAAGAAAAAGAGTGTATATTTTCTTCAAGCTACATTGAAGGCATTTGCATGTTTAAGTACCAGTGAACCATTTGTTTATGTTTAAAAATGTTTAATCACGTTAGTGTTTTTTTAGTTTGATTTTATTTTCCAAAGATGGCTACAACAATATCTCCCATCCCATACTTTCTTCTAGAATCTTGTAAATTTCCCATTAAGAAATACAATCTGATTCCTGCCCCCTTAAACCTGGACAGGTTTGTGACTTGCTTGTAACAACAATACAAGATTTCCCAAGCTAGGTCAGAAAAGGTAGTACAACTTTCACCTTATAGATGGAATACTCAGGCCATTCCTAGCCTTTCCAGATGGCAAACAATTCTTTAATTAAAAGAGAGCCTCAAGTCAAAGATCAAATCCAGGGTGGGACTATAAGATCATTTGTGAAGACTTCAAAAAGATCTAAGGCTATACCTCATAGATCATTTAAGAACCACAAAAGGCTCTCTGAGGATCTTAAAAACATGCCTCATAGGTCCTCCCTGTTAAACAATATAGGGTTTCTAAGTATCTAAGGAAGTGTCTTTCATCAGACTTACAGGGAACACAAAATAGAGAATGGATTATCTTAAAGAGATTTGTGACTGTGGCTTTTGTTTAATGGACTGAAACCCAATGAGATTCATAGAAAATCCACGAAGTTCTTAAGAATTGTGTTGCTGAAAACACTGCCAGTTTAAAAGAGAAGGCCGGGCATGGTGGCTCATGCCTGTAATCCCAGCACTTTGGGAGGACGAGGTGGGCAGATCATGAGGTCAAGAGATCGAGACCATCCTGGCCAACATGGTGAAACCCTGCCTCTACTAAAAATACAAAAAATTAGCTGGGCGTGGTGACATGCACCTGTAGTCTCAGCTACCCAGGAGGCTGAGGCAGGAGAATTGCTTGAACCTGGGAGGCGGAGGTTGCAGTGAGCCGAGATCACGCACTGCACTCCAGCCTGGCAACGGAGTGAGACTCCATCTCAAAAAAAAAAAAAAAAAAAAAGAAAAAGAAAAGAAAAAGAGACAGTACAAAATGAAAGGAAGCCTCTGAATTCTAGAACTGCTATAGGCAGGAAGCAAACTGAGAAGATTTAGTTTTATGCATAGGTCACTTATTATAACAATAAAGAAAAGATTACTCAAAGAAAGTAAGACTCCAGAGGGCAGAGCCAAAAGTCGTGGCCAACTCTCAGAGAGTAGAACCAAACCCTACTGACAAAACTGGCAACACGTACCTGGCTGGACTTCAGAATTTCTATTGGCCAGTGACTTCTATGTACCTATACTCTTCCATCCATTTGTAATGGAAGCATCTATTGTGGTTAACCTATGCGTCTGGCCTTTACATGATGGATATGTGGGAGGCACCAAGAGGAACAGTACTTGAATGCTTTGCTTAAGGAAACTGACTTAAGGAGACTCAACTGCAAAAGGACCTAACTTAATTAGAGAAATAAAAGGTTTGCTTCTCGAGGTCTATTTACAGACTAAGAATTACAAAATAAAAGATCTAGTGTATGTGGATTAATAATTTTAATAAGCGAAAGTGGTATGTACTTTCTAAAGTATATCACAAATGTGATATAAAGAGATAATTGAGAGGCAGAATAATGTGTTGGTCAAAGTGCAAGCCCTGAATCAGAATGGATGGAATCAAATCATGGCTCCACTCACCTCTAGTTCTATCAATGAAGGCAAGTCAGTTATATGCTCTGTGCTTTCATCCCCCATTTGTAAATCAGACATGACAATAGTACTTACCTAGGGTTGTTGTGAGAATTAAATTAGTGAGAATATGCAAAACATTTAGAAAAGTTCTTAATAATTATAGAGATAATTTACCTACAAAAATCTAATTGACAATGATGACTTTTATTGCTGAAAGGAAGGAAACTTTTAACTCCTCTCAAATTACTGGGAGTTCAAAAATGAATCTTGTTGAGTGAAGAAAATTGCTACAGAAGACTTTGGAAGTGATTACACAAGTACAACATAGTAAAGCTAGAATCTTCTGCCACTTGTCAAAATAAACTAAAAATAGATGAAGAATAATAAACACTAAGTTGTGAATCCTAGTGTCTACTTACGATAATTTAATGACAATAAATCTAGGCAGATCTACTGGGTTATGCTAAGACATTTTCCTAGCTGTATCTAATTTGATTGACTTTTTCTGTTTAATTAGTGAATATTATAATTATGTGTTCTGAAAGTTGTATGAATTTCATACCATCAAATAGCACTAATGCAAAATAGAGCAAAATATCAAGACTTAGAGTCTCTTTTGTGAACTTGCCTTCTTGCAAAGAATATAGTTAACTCCCTGGAGTAATCCTTATTTGTCTACATAATGAATGCTGTGGGAAAATGAGGCACTTCCACTCTTGTTCTCATCGGCATTGATATGACCTTGTCTGATTTAGTTGAACCAAGGGCATTTTCAATAATTACAAGCTCAGAGGTCTACCACAGATCCTCTCATGGGAGGATTACTTAATGTAGGCAAAGTAGATACAACCCTTCATGTCTGGTCCATTTTAATTTATTGGTTGCCTAAATATTCAATCAGAGCTTTCACCAGCTATATTTGTAGAGCTGCTCAAATGTTTTTATAAAAGTAAGCACATAGAAATTACAAACGGTGCTTCTTTTCATTCTTGCAGGCTGACACCTACAAAATATATTTTGTTAGGTTATAAATAGTTAAAAAACTTTTTTGAGCTACAATGCTTTTAATTGCTTAATTTTGTAGTTTTTAGAAACATGTTCTAGAAATATTTAGGAAACAATATCACATCCTGTGGCATCAAGAAAGGCAGGAACTTTGTTTTTCTAATTAATAAAGAAGGCTAAAAAGAGTCAGTTGTTAAATAGGCAATGGGAAACCATAATTGTAATCCATGGGAACCACGGATTTTTGCTGGAATATAAAGGATGATTTAAAATTAGCTTAAGATTTCACTGATTCTTAATGTATTTTGTTGATATATTGATTAGAAAAAAATTACATTTAGCCACACCTAAACTTATTTTGGCTTGTTTATCAAATTTTCAGATTAATTCTTGTTGATCAGTTTCCTTTCCTCCTTCCTTCCTTCCTTCCTTCCTTCCTTCCTTCCTTCCTTCCTTCCTTTCTCATGCTCCACAACAAACATTTGTTAGGCAACAGTTCATTTACTAACACCATAATAGGTGCTAGAGATTCCAGTAGAAATCATAATCTCTGTCACCATGAAGTTCATGAATTTACAATAAAAACAAAACCAATTAACAAAGGTGGGCCCCGAATTCAATGACTGGCCTCCTTATAAGAAGAGGAGAGGATACAGAGACCCAGAGAAGAAGGCCATGAGAAAACAGAGGCAGAGATTGAAATTATGCTGCCACAAGAGGAGGAACACCTGGAAGCTGGAAGAGGCAAGAAAGGATTCTTTCCTAGTGCATTTGGAGGGAGCATGGTCTTGCTGACTCCTTGATTTCAGACTTCTAGGCTCCAGACTTGTGAGAGAATAAATTTCTGTTGTATCAAGCCACCCAGTTTGTGGTACTTTTTGTGGCATCCTTAAGAAACGAATACAGACATGTTCACTTTGAAGTACCTTTGGGACAACTGAGTCGAATGGTCAAAAGAAAGATGAATTCAGGGATTTGGAATTCCAGCTTAGGCTGGAGATAAAACTTTGAGGATTATCAGTATGCGATTTGGCAATAAAGCCATATAAGTGGCTAAGATCATCCAACGCACTGTGTAGAATGAGACAAGAATTCCATCTAGGGCCATGAAGAACAGTACCTTTTAGGAAGAGACCAAGGTGGAGGTGCTCACAAAGGGAGACTGGAGAGGTAGAAGGAAGACCAGGATAGTGGAGGGGCACATGCAGAGGGTTTCAAGGGTTAAGTGCAGCAGACTGGTCAAGTAAAATAAAGACTTTGTCCGTTGCATTTAGGAAAAGGCAGTTGTGGTGACCTAACTGAGACTTCAGTGCAAGAGTGGAGTAATTTTCAGGAATGACTGAGAGATCCAAAAGTGAGTCCAGGAAGTGTAGACAGCTCTTTCCAGGGGATTGAATGTGAAAGGTGGAAAACCGACTGCAACTAGAAGCAAAGAATGAAGAAGACCTTTCACATTGCTTAATTGTCACTATTTGGATTTTCTTACAGATGATTATGCTCTTAACTAATGAGACACTTTGATGTTTAGACAATGATGATAAAACAAAACAGTACCTCATTTTAATTGTTGTTGTCCACAAAACTGCTCACTAAATTATGGCAAAGCAACTAGAACATGTTTTACAGATACAAATCTAAAAAGTCAGTAAATGAGAATCTGTTGTTGGTAGAAATTTTCTGCATAATTTACAAAGAGGGAAATTATAGGCAGAATAATGTTTTGAAATGCAAAACATCTGACTCATAGTAGAGATGAAGAGCAGTGAATGACCCATGAGAGAAACTTATCTTATTGTTCACACACAGGGTAGAGAAAATTCAAACCGATAAGGCATCAGGCAAAGCAAAACTGCTTTAACGAAGGTGAGTCATAATGCCACTCAGGGAGATGAATCAGGTGCCCACATGTCCAATCACTTTCATAATTACAGCTCCCTACATCTTTTAAATTAAAACTGAAGTCAGGTAACAACTAATGTCCCTTTAGAACAAACTTAGCCAAATGGAAATAGACAGAGTCCTAAGAAGTAAAATGAGCATATCAAAGAGATGCAGCTTTTCTGGAAAGGAAAAAAAGAAAGAGGGGCAGTGGCTCACACGTGTAATCCCAGCACTTTGGGAGGCCAAGGTGGGTAGATCACTTGAGGCCAGGAATTCGAGACCAGTCAACATGGCAAAACCCTGTCTCTACCAAAAAGACAAAAATTAGCCGTTCATAGTGGCACATGCCTGTAGTCCCAGCTGCTCCAGAGGCTGAGGCACAAGAATCACTTGAACTTGGGAGATGGAGTTTGCAGTGACCTGAGATCATACCACTGCACTCCAGCCTGGGTTGCAGAGTGGGACTCTGTATTAAAAAAAAAAAAAAAAAAAAAGAGAGAGAGAGAGAGAGCTTGCACAAAAGCAAGCCATCCCTTTAAGTGTAATGTCATGACTGCTGGCCCCAAAAGACTTTTAAATGCTTTTATTGTGCCCTCTGTTCCAACTGATTTTGATACCTTCCCATCATGGAATCACTACAGTAGTTTTTGCTCAACATGAAGTCTTAGATATATTATACCTGAGGCCCCTAAGGTTTCCTGCTCAAGCCAGGAGAGTAAGCAGCCTCCCTGCCCCCTCCCACCCACTTCCCTTCTAGCTTTCACAGTCAATCAAAAGCCTAGTAAATTCTACATCTTAGACATCTACCCTCTGTCCTTTCCCAGAGATACAGCCTGATCTAAGCTGCTACTGACTTACCTGTAACAACTAGTTTCACTCATCCTGGTTGCCTCCTTTAGGCAAAGCTACAGCACAGCTAGCGTGAACATGGAAACATACAAATCAGATATCATTCTGTTGCCTAAACCTTAGATGGTTTCCCGCCAAGACCAACACAAGCTTATATGAGCCTCTGTGAGAATTTTGAAAAAAAGGTAATTGCCCCTACTATGGGATAAGCAGAAAAGAGCCACATTTCAGACCCGATTTACCCTGTGGTTAGGCTTATTTATGTGGCGATGAAAATGCAGCAGACGTTGCCTGTAGAATAAAATCCAGACTCTTTAAAATGGCTTATGAAGCCCTCTACAACCTGGCCCCTGCCAATCTCTGCAGTCACCTCTCACCATTCTTTGATCTTGCTCTTACAGATCAGTTTCAGTTCCTTGACCATATCATGTTCTCACTTATATCTTTGCCAAACCTGCCACTGTTTGGAATAGTCTTCCCTCCTTTGTGACCACATAATTCCTGCTCACTTTTCAGGTTTTGACAAAAATATTACCTCCCTTTACAGGTCTTCCCCGATGCCCTTGATTAAAAATGCTTTCTTGCCATACACTCCCCCAGATCACCTAAATGTGTCCTTGCATAACAGTCATTAGGATTCATTGAAATTGCTGGCATAGGCTGAGTGCAGTGCGCATGCCTGTAATGCCAGCACTTTGGGAGGCTGAGGCAAGTAAATCACTTGAGCCCAGGAGTTCAAGACCAGCCTAGGCAATGTGGTGAAACCCCATCTCTACAAAAAAAAAAAAAAAAAAGAAAAGAAAAGAAGTAACTGGGCATGGTGTTGCATGCCTGTAGTCTCAGCTACTCAAGAGGCTGAAGCTGGGGGGTTACTTGCGCCTGGAAGTGTAGGCTGCAGTGAGCTGTAATCGTGCCACTGAATTCCAGCCTGGGCAACACAGTGAGACCCTGTCTCAAAATAAGAGAGAAATTGCTGGTATAACGTCAACATTTTCTAATGAACTCTCAGCTCAAAGAGAGCAGAGATTTTGTCTGTTTGCTCCCCACTGTATTATCTGTATATAGTAATGTGTCTGATGCTTAGAAGCTCAAGAAATATTTATTGACTGAATAAATAATTACATGAATAAAAAAGCCTGGAATCCTTGTTACAGTATAGTGGGAAGAGGTCTAGTCCAGGCTCTTCCACTAACTTATTGGTTCTGTGACTGTAAACAAGTTTCCTAACCACGGTGAGCCTACTCTTTAAATGTAATCTTTAAAATGTTGACAATACCGTTTGTCCTATCTACCATCAAAATTGTCATGAGGCTCAATGAAGCTGAGGACAACTAATGTGTACTGACAGCCTACCACGTGCAAAGCTTTATGCTAGGTACTGCCATCTGTATTATCTTGAAAAATAGAAGAATCTCTGAAAGACTGTCATTTACCCAAAGATCATTTTTCATAGTAAGTGGCAAACTAAAGACTTAAGTAGGAATTTCTGTGATTCCAAAGGCTCTTTTCTTCTCGTCCCTTCCCTTCCTTTCCCTGCCCTGCCCTGCCTTCCCCTCCTCTCCCTCCCCTCCCCTCCTCTCCTCTCTTTCTCCTTCCTCACCATGTTCCATCAATATCTATCTGATTAATACTTCAAGTCACAGGACAAGCATCACTCGTTTTGTGAAACCATCTCTGATTCTTCTGACCAGATTTATGTGCTCCTATAACTATGTTCATATTGTACTTACTATAATAACATTAGTTTTAAATTTTTTTTTACCACAAAGTTTTTGTGAGAGGGGAGCATGTCTTCCCACTATTATATTATTTCCAGTATCTTGCCTGGATATTAACATTTTATAAGTACTAAAGGAATATTTGTTAAATGAATGAATGAACTTACTTTCTCTGGCTTTTTTAGAAAATTTGATAATACACCTAATTTTTGTTCAGTGTTTACAGTTTTATATTTAATTTATAAACAGCAATAATTGAGGCCCCAACCACAGTAGCTCATATGCTTAAAGTTGTTAAGATAGTATTATGAACATACGACATCAGCTCTTGCCCAATAATAGACGTTTGGTTTTAGATTAATATATTTAAGATTAATCTTAAAGTGCAACTAATAGGCTGAGTGTAGTGGCTCACGCCTGTAATCGCACCACTTTGGGAGGCCGAGGCGGGTGGATCATTTGAAGTCAGGAGTTCGAGACCAGCCTGGCCAACATGGCAAAACCCCATCTCTACTAAAAATACAAAAATCAGCTGGGCGTGCTGGCACGTGCCTGTAGTCCCAGCTACTCAGGAGGCTGAGGCACAAGAATTGCTTGAACCTGGGAGGTGGAGGCTGCAGTGAGCTAGGATTGTGCCACTGCACTCCAGCCTGGGCAACAGAGCGAGGCTGTGTCAAAAGTAATAATAATAATAATTTTAAAAGTACAAATAATTATTGCCTGAAAGGGAATATGCTAAATATGAGATACAGGGAAATGATTCAGGTTCACTTCAAATTTAATATTCCAGTTTTAATTTGATATAAGGCAACCTCAGGGAACAAACATGTTGTTAGTAGCAAACTACTTAGCTTAGAGAACTTAACATAGTATTTATTGTAATGTTCCCCTGTTCTAGAAAATCATAACTAATAATAGAAATAAAACCCAGCTGCATATCAATGGCCAAGAACATATCAATGGACTAGAAAATATGCTAAGGAGACTAAAACAGACCTGAACATTTCCTTCAAATTTAAATAAAGTAAGTACTTTTTACTTATTACTAAGATCTGAAAGATATATTAAAAATACTTTGAAATTACGTAACATGTGATCTAAATTGTTCATCTAAAACAACAGCTTGTCAAAATGCTAATCACTAGGAACCGAGAGGTTTGTTTAGTTAATAGTGCTTCCTTTCACATGTGCTTATGTGCTTTTCAGAAGGAAATCTGAAATCTATTATTAGCTTTCCATAGTCAACTCCTGATTATCCGAGTTAATAAAATAGAACCCAGACATCTGTGCTAATAGAGAGAACACAGACATACAATAGACCTGATTCAGATCCAAAAAAGCAGATAACACAAAAATTACATCTTTGACTCCGGAATAAATGTTGATTCTTTGTAGCATATGTGCCTTCCTAATAACACTCCATTAGTTTTTCTACTATAGCACAGGGGAACTATGCTACGGAAAACTCACCTACACATGTAAGTGAGAGTTCACTCTAGATTGTGTGAACGCATTGTTAGATGTTAGAATTCTGTCAGTGGTATTCATTCCGCACACTGGATTCTGATCATCACTAATATGTTGAAAGGTCTCATTCTCTTCAATGCTCCAGGCCCTAATACAAGATTCCCAACCTCATAAATGGCTCCTGTAGAAAGTAACAACATCAGGGTGAAGAAAAAGTCAGTTATGGGAAAGAAAAAAAAAAGCCATGCTATGCTTTGTTTTGACCTCGTGAAAGAACAGGGATCACTCAAGTTTTTACTGTTATTTTCAAAGTCAAGCCTTAGATACTTGTTCACTAAAGGGGAAGAAAATTATAAATTATTGTACATTATTAGATACATGGCTTTCTAGAGTGAAATTAATGATTTTGGAAATGCTGGGCCAATTACTTTATAAATGTCTAAGAAAAATGAATATCTTCCTCATGTAAATAACTGCAATCTTTTCATCTGTAAAATCAGATCAGTTATGTAACAAAAACTTACATTAAAAATGACATATCTCCCTGAGGCAACTTATGAAATAACGAATGAAAGGTAGGCTCATGCTTCCGAAGAAAGCAATGTAGTTCAGAAAAAACTACAGAGCTCACCTTACTATATACATAGCAATAGGCACATAGGTGGCAGAATCCCAGCAAAGCAAATATTCTTTCAGTGATTCAATAATTTGCCATTTATTGAGCACCTATTATAAGGTCAGTCATCATGCTGGACACTGTGGATACACTTTATTTGAGACATGGTCCCTGCATTTAAGGAGCTCACAGACATGTAAATAATTTTGTGTAAGAGATGCAATAGTCGAAGCATGTGAAGAACGCTAGGGGGAGTATGGATGCAAGAATTGGTGGGAGTTAAAGAAGGCTTCACAAAGGAGGTTACTGGCATAGACATAATGTTTGTACCCTCCCAAAATTCATATGTTTAAATACTAACTCCCAAGGTGATGGGATTAGGAGTGGGGCACTTGGGAGGTGATTAGGTCATGAGGACAGAGCCCTCATGAAGGCGATTAGTGCCCTTATTAAAGAAGCCTGGCCGGGCGCGGTGGCTCACGCCTGTAATCCCAGCACTTTGGGAGGCCGAGGTGGGTGGATCACAAGGTCAGGAGATGGAGACCATCCTGGCCAACATGGTGAAAGCCCATCTTTACTAAAATACAAAAAATTAGCCAAGTGTGGTGGTGCGTGCCTGTAGTCCCAGCTACTCGGGAGGCTGAGGCAGGGTTGTTGCTTGAACCCCGGAGGCGGAGATTGCGGCCACTCCGGCCTGGGCGACAGAGTGAGACTCTGTCTCAAAAAAAAAAGAAGAAGAAGAAGAAGAAGCCCAAGGGAGCTCCTTTGCCCTGTCCACTGTGTGAGAACACAGAGAAAATGCTCCGTCTATGAACCAGAAAGTGGGCTCTCACCAGAACCAAATCTGCTGGTGCCTCGGTGTGGCCTCCCCAGCTTCTGGAACTCAGGAAAGTTAATTTCTGTGGTTTGTAAGTTACCCAGTTTACGGTATTTTGTTATAACAGCCCGAATGAACTAAAAGAGTTGTCTTTAGCCACAGTTCATGTAAGAATTGTAATTTACCAAGTAGATTAGATGCCAAGGCATTCCAAGATGATGAAAAAGTACTTAAAACAAGGAGCCATGAACTCTAAGAACAACATACTTAGAAGTCCATGATATATTTGGATAGAGGTGAACAGGAAGTTATATCCAAATTATCAAGGACTGTGTTGAGCATGCTAAGACATTTGGATATTCTTATATAAAAGTTATTAAGCAGGGACAAAGCATAAGATGTTCTTAAACAGCGGAATGGCATGATCAGATATCCTTTTTAAAAAAATAAAAATAAAAAAAGAACTCTGTTAGCTTTAAGAGACTGTCAAGTCCTGGAGGTGGGAAGCCTAAATGAGAGACATCAATAGTTTATTTAGGTCTGGATGATCCCTAATATAGTCTCCCACCCTCTGTCTTATGTCTTAAGATTTCATTATCAGAGCTTTAGCTTTATAATTTAGTACCTATTAAAGTAAAAATTGGTATTTTGGGAATGATAGGATAGAAAATTGCATAAGTGGTTAAGTTGAGCTTGGGGATGTGGGGCAAAGGTGACAGTTTTAAAATCCTTCCCTCTTTATTGTGTAATCTCAAAAAGATCAAGGGACTGGTATTGATGGGAGAGGCACCTTGAGGCCAGAGCAGATGGAGAGAGGGACAGACACTCTCTTTCCAAAATCAGAGGAGCATGGGATATGTTTGTTTTCTGCCTCTCCATAATATGGCACAACGAACTTAGTGGCTTACAAGAGCATGCATTTATTATCTCACAGTTTACAAGAGTCAGGAGTCTGGGTGGCTTAACTGGGCCCTCTGCTCAGGGTCTCATTTAGATATTGGCCAGGGCTCCAGCTCTCATCTGAGGGCCAGGGTCCTTTTCTAAGCTCACAGACTGTTGGCCCAATTTGCTTCCTTGCAGCTGCAGAGCTCATGTGGTTTATTCTCCAAAGCTAGCAACAAAGAGAGAGAAATTCAGCTGCATCAAGTTGCTAACTTCTATGCCCGAAATTTAAGGAATCAGCTTATTATCAGTTCATCTCTCTTTTGATTAACTTAAAACCAGTGATTGGAGACCTTAATTACATCTGCACAATCCATTCACCTTTGCCCTAAAACATCTGGGAGTTATATCCTATCACCTTTGCCATTGGCTAGTAGCAAGTTATGGGCCTCACACACACTCAAAAGAAGGACCTCACACAAAGGCCTGGAGACAGGGAGCAGGATCACAGCCTTCTTAGAATCCTGCCAATGACAGATTTGAAGAGTTGAGGTCACTAGAGTCTAGGAGAGGCAAGGAACAATCAGTCTATCCAGTAGGTAGAAGTAACTGGGGAGAATGTCTGGAACAAGTTCTGTTACAGGCTGGCTCACTGTGGCATGACACCTAAAAGTGAAGCCTGCGTTTGAAGGGCCTGGCCCCAGGTAAACACATGAGGCACCCACCCAACATAGACAAGTGCAGAGAGCAAGAGGGGAAGATGTTCTCCCCAAAGAAGACTGTACAGATAGAAGATCTGAATAGAGAAAAAGGACTTGTAGTTTGAAAACTGTTTTCAACTAGGGGGAAGGAGGGGATTTTCTCCATAGCACCAACCTGGGAATACCAAAAGACTCTTTTCCTCCTTTTGTTTTAATTTTTCAATTACCGTAAGCTTTTCTCTCACAGCTTTATTTTTAACTTTAATGATCACACATATATCACACAAATATAACTAATACGCAGGGAGATTTTTCAAGAGATATAAACATCCTGGTTGAGAAAGTCAGGAGAGAAAAACTACTAAGTAAACTAAAAATGACAAGATAATTAGAGAGAAGATATATACAGCAATAAATTTGAATTTCAAAGAAAATTTCAGGTAACAAATCTGTTATATTTTCACGTGCATTAATAGAAGTTAAAGCAAGAGAAAATTGAGTTAATAAAAAATTGATTTAAAAAAAAACAGATTTTCAACACAAAATCTCTCTGAAACTACTGCGCCCTTGCCTCTGCTGTAATTTTGGAAGGATTAGCGCTTGTAGGACTCTGGCTGTCCCCAGCAGTGACACACCTTCCCACCCCAGGATACATAAAACTGGGGCACAGAGCAGATGGAATTTTCAGCTCTGCTCATCAGCAGGTTGACCTGCTTGTTCCAAGCAATTTTGTGAATTTAAGACTCTGGTGCCTGGCTGGACTCATAGCACCCGGGTGCTCTGCAATTTGTACAGAATTCTAAAATTTCAGGCTCTGCTTGTTGCCTAGATCTTTAGTAATAACAGCAATAAAAAAGTAATAATACCCACATGTATTAAGCATTTATGAAGCTACATTAATTAAGCATATGTTGTGTTTATGTAGTTTGCAGTTAATGGCACTGGCTTAATGTAATAGGGATAGTATTTTTTAAAGAAGAACTTGATATATTTCCATCTTCAAATTGTGTTTCACTGGAAACTGCTCCTCTTCCAGGGCTGGACAGGGTACCTAATGCCCTCACGGAAGAAAAGGTGGGTTAGCAAGTCAATAGACTTAAAAATCAGAGTCCTGCTTTAGACCAATCAGAATGACGTATGAAGATCTATTGTATAGACAAATGAGAAGCCCATCCCAGAAGAGAAAGGACATACCAGCTTCTGGAGAATTTCAAAACGGAAAAGGCTGAATGAGATGGGGAGGATAGGGAAATAGTTCTACATTTGTGTCTGGAACTTTCCTTTCTGGGCACTGGCCTCGAGAGAATGTAGCATAATAAATAGGTATTGGGCAAACATAAGAAAAGAGAGCTCTGGGTTCCCAATCCCATCTAGATTCTGGGCAGGGCCACATCCCATTAAACTTGATAGTTCCCTGTGGTAAGGACTAGCAAGATTTTGGGGATAAATCTTTCTGAGTCCCACTGATATTCCTAAATTACGAATGAGACCCAGAGGTACCTGGAGCCTCCAGAAGGGGGCCTCAGCAGGCAGCTGGTCTGAAAGCCAACTGGACTGCCCTGGGGCCAGCTTGGCAAGGGGAGAGGTGACCGCTGCAGAGGCTAGGAAAGACAGATGGCCGACCTGGCAGAGACTCAGAGGGACCACTTTGCCAGTGCGAGGCGAGCTGAGGTGACCA
The DNA here is from genome assembly GCF_000001405.40 of Homo sapiens. Lineage (NCBI taxonomy): Eukaryota > Metazoa > Chordata > Mammalia > Primates > Hominidae > Homo > Homo sapiens. Next base: position 99,390,953 of record NC_000012.12, read on the forward strand.
GCCAGAAAGAGCTCCAGGCTCTGGCCAGAATGGTCTTGACCTAAATATGCCACCTGCAGGCCACAGGTATACTGGAAGGGATGCCCACTCCCTATTATCCCTTTTCCTGTGTGTCTCTCCGGCCCCATGTACCAGCCATTCATTCGTTAGGAGTTTGAACAAAAAGCTAATTCAAACTTTCTCCATCCTCCTCAAATATCTCATCTTTGCCCTCTTTTGTTACTCTCCAAAGACAGCCTTGCTCTTGGTTCACAGAGAAAATAAGAGCCACCGGACAGTAAAATGCAAATCAGATCATCTCTCTTCGTTTAAAACACCTATCAATGACTTCTCATTGCTCTTAGGATAAATACCAAAATCCTGAAGGTAGCTACAAGGGTTTGATTGGGCTTTTACTCGCTTTGCAGCTTCAACTGCTGTCATTTCTCTCCTTTCTCTCTGACCTGCAGTTTCATGTTAATTTCTACCACAGGGATTTTTTTAAATATGCTATTCCTTCTTTAAAGAATAATCTTCCTTCCCCACCTTGGCCTACTTAATTCTTCTTTGTCTTTCAGAGCCCCACTCATTGTTGGCATGAGATCAGTCACCCCCTTGAGATACTCTCACAGCACTTTCTCATGGCACACCCTGAGTAAACATATTTATTTAATATTGCTTAGGTAAGCCAATAGTATTATATCAACTAATTTCATTTGGAGTAGCAAGTCCCATGCACTAGCTAACTAACATCACCCCATTATCTAACTATATATTTTCATAATTTTAAGTGCTGAAAAGCAATCAACTTTTCTTCATCAAGCATCTCGTAACCTGTACCTTGCCTTCTACCTGATGTGCAATTTGTCACAAAGGCACTGGGTGAAAGTCATCATGTGACACCACAGGAAAACAGGAAAAAGTACAGGAGACACATTTCATGATTTATCAAGAAGTGACAAGAATATAATTTACCATTACATCTATATGCAGCATTTGATATAAAAATACTTGCCTCTAGGGTACCTAAAATCCTGGTCTATTGAAAGTACTGAACTTACCAACCAATAACTCAGCTAATATATTTAATGTATATATTTTTAGGAAAACAGGTCCCAAAGATGTAATCTCGCATCATCCTCTCTAACCCTTTACTTTCTCCATATCAGCTTGCCCCGAATCTTAGCTTGGAGTTGAGAGGTCATCTCAGCAGCCTGTTCCTGGCCTTCCTGTCGGCTGGAGGCCAAAGCCTCCCTCAGCTGCCTGTGTCCAGTGGCTGCTGTAATAATGATGTCTCAGCTTCAGGAGGTCTATTTCCAGGCCATGTGAGCTAATTAAAACACAGGCCTTCATTTGCCTTTCTGGCAATCCCTGATCAGTGTGAGAGGCCTATGCCACCCTCTCCATTCTAATTTTAGTTCTCCTCTAGTGTTTTCTCTCCTTTGCAGAAAAGCGTCCTATGCTGCTAAGCACTTACAGGCTTTTGTTTTTGTTATTTCTCCCACTTGGAAAGAAGCACTTTTCCACTTTACTCCTTTTGGGTTTTCTCCTCCCATCAGTTTTCTCCTGCAGGAGGTGATGGTTTGAAACTACTAGCAAAACTGAAGATAATTAGTTACCCAAGGTAGTTGACTTGCTTAGCAGGTGCCCTTGAGAAAGTGCTAATGCACAAAATTCTTCATGTGGAAACAACTTTTTGGACACAGCTTTCTATAAAGATAGAGAACACCTGTTATCACTGGCGATGCTCAGCTTCTTTTCCCCCAGCAATTCACAACACAACTATCCAGAGTTCAGAACTCATAAATTCACTCACAATAGGCTGAGATGCTATTTTTCGGTCTTTTAAAACGGATACTCTTTACTTCTGATAAGCATAAAATTATCACATGGCTTCCTCCCACCCTACCCTCCCTCACTGAAAAAAAATCATTATCTCAACTATCTACTCTACATATCTACTTGAATATCCAACAGATTTTCAAATTAAAATGTTCAAAACTGAGATTTCCCCATCTCCACTAATATCAGCTCCATCTTTCCAAAGGTCAAAACACCAAATATCTTTGAATTACAACTTTGGTCCCTTTTATTTTCTTATATCCTACCTCCAATTCATCCAAATATATATGTAGATAGATTGATAGATCAATCGATAGACAGATGATAGATAGATAGATAGATAGATAGATAGATAGACAGATAGATCTACCTTTAACATAGATCCAGAATTCTACCACTCCTCACCACCTCTATTTAAAAAAAACTGTTACCCGAGGAAAGAAGAACACACTGGCAACCATTAAGGGGACCCAAGAGATTGAAATATCTTAGCAGATGGGTTCTCAGGTCATTCAAAGGTTTCACATGAGAATGAGACACATAGTGGCCATGTGCAGAGAGAGCCCCTTAGGGAAGTGGCCTTGAATGAAACACCTCTCTTAGGGAGACTTTGGCAGCCAGGGAATGACATGAGGAGCCTTGGCACCTCAAGGAAGAGTGGGACAAAGTATAGAAGAAGTGAACTCAGATAAAGGTGATCTATATTACAATGTGTTAAACAAATGGAAAGATTAAATATTATGAACGCAGTGAATGTTATGTCTTTAGAAGTATCAAACATTTCTTCCAGGAAATTGTTGTACTGATTTAATTGCAGTATTTAAGAATATGTTGATGGAGGAGAGGCTAACTCAGCTGCTCAGTCCCATGGTCTTAAGACAATTGCTGATAATTATAATCATTCCTAGTTCCTTGTGCATCCCATTCTTTGAATCCAACAATTATTCCAACCCTCTTCTTTAATACCTTGACTCCAGCAATACTTTGACCCCACTGGAATCTCCAGTCCTAAGATCTTATTGATTTTTCAGTGTTAATTATCTCCTTGTTCTCTTTCACTTCCCTCTTCATCTTGAAGTCTATGGTTAAATATTACACTCCCTTGCATTTATATTTCCTTGCTCTTCAATCACTTCAATATACCAATTTAGCAAAACCACAACCTATGTAAAATTCAACTCTCCAAATACTCTGCACCTGCATCCTCCAGCTGACATAGGCTGGAGAAAAACACAGAACCACATTGGATAGTCTAATTCTAAATGCATGAACACAGACTTTAAATAGGCCTTTAATGCTGCCAGGTGATCACATCATATACCTCCTTTGTCCACTCACTGTTTCTTCTAAACAACTATTTCACACTGTTCTCTCTTTCCTCAAACTCTACATTTCCTTCTCTGTCTTTGGTTTCAATTGAAGCTGCTGCTCTCTACTTTGTAGAAAAACTGAAAACTATCAGAACAGATCTTCCCCAGATTCCCACCACATGGATCTCCTGCCAGTATTTGCACCCACAACCAAAACATCTGTTCATGCTCCTGTCCAAAACCAGTCTCTCCACTTGGTTAATAATAGAATTCATCATCCCCTCTTTCTCCTCCATCGTAACTTAAAAATTCCCCTGTGAAGAAATTCCTTCAAGGGTAGTCTATCATTACTCTAAGTCCTCTCCTCCCTTTCTCCCTTAAAACCACCACATGAGGCTCTATCATTTCCAACCAAATTGCTCTTGTCAAGGTCAGCAGTGACCCCCCCACCCCCAATATTGTTAAATCCATGAACCTATTCTAACTTAGTCCTCATCCTACTTAACTTATCAGCTATATTTGACAGAGTTGATCCCTCTTTCCTTCTTAATAACTTTCTTCACCTGACTTCAGAACAAGACACTCACCAAAAGATTTCCTTCTATCTCACAGGTTGCTCCTTATCAGCTTCCCTTGCTGGTGCTGCCTTTCATTCCATCCTTCCTCAAGCTCAGTTATTGGTCTTCTTCCTCTACACACGCTGCATATCATCTGTATAATGACGACGTTCACATCTATACCTGCAGACTGGACCTTCTGCTGCCTACTTGACACATCTATTCAGATATTCAGTAGGCATCTCAAAATTAACTCCTGGTATTTCTCACTGTTTACCAAACCTTCTCTTCCCCAAATCTCTTGTGTGTCAAACGATAGGAAATTCATTCTTACAGTTGTTAAGGAGAAAGGTCTTGGAGTCATCCTTAATTCTTCTCATTTTCTCATATACCATGTCCACTCCACCATGAAATTCCATTGGATCTGCCTTAAAAATATGTCCAACATCTCTCCATTTCTCTCTAACTCTGCTGATTCACCTGTGATCTTAGCTGCTTTCCCTCTCTTACTGCAATGCTACAATTGCCTTCTAACTGGCTTTCCTGCATCCACCCTTGTTCCCTCTCCCCATCCATGATCGACATTATAGCCAGATTAATCCTCATAAAATAGAAGTTAGATCATGTGACTTTTCTTCTGAAAGAACTGAATAGGCTCTAAGAAAAATCACTCTGGGTTAAAGCCAAAGTCCTGAAATGGCTTATTAGGGCCTTACATAATCTATCCCTCACCCTCTCTTCTTACCTACAAATATTCTACATTTCAAGGAAGAGCATCCACCTTTCACTCATCAGCTTAAGCTAGAAACTTTAGAGCCCTCCTTGAAATATTTCCCCTCATCTTTGCACATCCAATTACCATGACCTGTTAATTACTCTTTCCTTGTATCTCTTAAACCAATTTACATTTTCCCTTTGCTATGAAACTATTTCTCCCCTTCTCCAATGTCATTTCATCTCAAATCTACTACATATTAATACTAGAGTGAACTTTCTAGTTAAATGTGAACCTATTTATATCATTCCCCAGACTGTATAACACCAAAGCTTTTTAATTCTAACAACCTTTTTTGATGATTCACAAGTTGAAGCTTTAATCACAATTCAAGCTACTTTTTAAATGGCCCTCTGTTATAATAAATTCATTGGTTCACTTAAAAGTGTTTTGCAGCATACGATTTATTTTTGAAGATGTATTAGTCTTTGTTCTGTTAAATGCCATTTTGGTCAAGATTAATTTTTTGTGTATGCAATCATTTATAAAATGAAATGTAGATTAATCAGTAAATTTAAATTATACTTCTAAGTCAAGAAAAGGTCAGCTATCTCGGCATAAGCTTGGTCAGCTACCTTGGCATACCTTGTACAGACTTACAACAGGCCCCCCTATCTTAAAGCTACTACAGATTTCAAATAATAGTATTAAAAACAAAAATAATATTAAGCAATAACTGTGATAATATTAAAGAATAATATTAGTTGCCAAGGTTTACAAAATGTATTAACATAAACTCATTTATTACTACAAATACCTAAAGAGTAGATATTATTTCCACTTTCAGAGGAGCAAATTAAATGTCAGAAAAGTTAAAGGTTTTGATGGAAAATATCTAGCAAATCAGTGATGGAACTGACTCTTCAACTCATTCTCTTTATATACCCAGTGGCAATGTCTGTAAAGCATAACAAATTAAATATGTGTAAGCTAATAAAATGCTACTTTTGCAAGTACAAATGCCTTCCTTACAAGTTTTCCTTTTTAATGTAAAGCAAAGCAAATTGTGCTTTCACATTATTACTAAATATCAGTCTATCCTAAAATTGTTTATGTAATGTGGAGGTGATATATTATCTTAGAAAACCACTGTAACATGGTATTGGAAACCATTTCAACTGTTAAAAGGTTAGATTTCAGTTCTGTTTAAAGGTCAGACCTGAAAATATCCTGATGATTACAATTTCTCCACACATTTTGGATGATGCCACTGAACTCCTGGCAGCAGCAAAATGTGTTTGTTCTGATCCTCTGCTTCTGGTGGTCAGTTTCAGAGTGGAGAAAAGGCGCCAGGGCTTTGGGACTAGACCTAAATTTCTATTGCTTTTAATTAAAATAATAAAGGGGAAAAGGTAATATTCCTATCCAACTGAGACAGAAAAATTTGTTGAAAACCGATTCTTACCTGTTGAAAAATATTCAGAAAATCGATCATCCCCAAAACAATGTACTAACTAAAACAAAACCAAGAAAGGCATTCTGAAAGGCAAGTATCAAAGCATCTGTCATTGCCCCATTTTAGGTTTTCAAATCTGGAACTAGTCATTCAAATAAATATTGTTTGAATAATAATTATATGCCCAGAACCCTTCCCAGGTCCACATACCACTATTTTTTGTTTTTACAAATCACATCTCATCTCTCCTGTCCTATAAAACTGCATTTAGTACATAGCAGACAATACATTTTAATGCTCACTGAATGAATGCTAGGATTGATGTAGAATACAAAGAATTATGTTAATATCATTGTTATTGCTACTACTACTAATAGTTACTAACATTTATTGAGCACTAACTATCTGCCAGGCACTGTGTTAGTCACTTTACATGCATCACCACAGTACAGGGTAAGTTAATCTAATTAATTCATTGTTAATCTAATTCTATAGTAAGAAAACTATAGCATAAAGAGATCAAGTCTCATAGCTAGGTAAGAGGCTCAGTTTCACAGTTAGTAATCAAACTTTGGCAGTCTGACCTCAGTGCTTACAATGGGCCAGAGACCAACCTATTGCAGCTTACATTCTAGAAAGACGACAAGAAATAAGTAAAGAAGTAACCAATATAATTTTACATAGGAGATAAGGCTATGGATAAAAGAAAACGGGATGATTTGATAGAAGTGACTAGAGTGATATAGAAAAATGGTTAAAAACATGAACTCTAGTACCAGGTTTGAGTTCATACCAGAACTTTTTCCAGCTTTGTCATTATGGGCTGTTATTTAGTTACTTATGTTCTTTGTGTATTTCCTTATCTACAGATAATACCGAATTTATATAACAGTCATGAGGTTTAAATGAATTGATATACATAAAATGCCTAAAACAGTTCCTGACACATAGTGTCATTTAAGTATTTATTATTATTGTTATTTTTGCATTTTTATTGTTATAATTCTTATCACGTTGAGGACATCTACTTGAGATAGGGTGGTATGGGAAGGCCTCTATGAGGAAATGCATTTGAACCAAAACCTAAATGACACTTAGGCACATGAAAATTTTAAGGCAGAGATTCCAGGCAGAAGGAAACAAAGTGCAAAAGCCCCAGGGCTAGAATGTTCAGCAAAGAAAGCCAGTATGGCCAGGATGAGTTCAGTCAAGTTACAGAGCTAGTCAGGAACCAGGCTAAATTAGGCATCACTGGATATGGTAAGGAGTTGGGTTTTATTCTAAGTGCGATTAGAAGACATGGGAACATTTTAAGCATGGTAATGACATGCTTTGATTTACATTTTATAAATATCACTCCGGCTTCCATGAAAGTTTGGATTATAACTTCCATAGAATGTCAATCTTATCATTCCCATTAGTCATTGTTTTTAAAATCTTAGCTTTATTCCTAGGGAAAAGTAATTCTCTGACTATATTTCCAGAATGTTTGTGTTAGTGCTTTTAAACATAGAGTCCGATTAAAGGACTTAAGTAGGTATATGAACATACATATATACACATACACTCACTGTGAACAAAGATTATATGGAATACTCACATAGACCACACTTCATTATTCTAAATTCAAATCAGAATTTGAATTCACTGAATGAATGCTAGGCTGGGTTTTTGAATCATGTTTCTTGGAAGGAAAGTAATTGTTTACTTACATGAAAGTTGACCATATGAATTAGGTCATTCTTGTTATACCCAACTAAAACAGTTGAGAGGTCAAGGGGAGAAAACATCTAGGGCACATAACACTGTTCCAACAATGTAATTCCCTGTGAGCTTGGCTGCTGAAGCTGCCTGCTGTAACCTGAAACCAGTTTTATCTAATAGCTACTGAAACAACCTGCTGCAACTCTGAGAATCATTTTACCCATAGCCATCACTTACCAATCAAAACTTTCCAGCTCACCAACATATTATTAGTGCCAATGAACTTCCTCAAAGAGCAATATGTAACTTTCCCCTTTTTTGTAAAACCTCTATCCGTCTGTTCTCTGGACATAATGAAGACCATCCAGCCTATGAGTATGCCACAAATGCAATTCTTGATTTCCAAATAAAACATTTAAAATTAAGACTTTTGTCTCTATATTGTATTTGTCTTTAACCCTTATTGTAAATTATATGGCAGGGGAGGATATTCTTTGGGTCCCACTTCTCTTATTTCTAATATGTCCCTTGGCCTTGCCAGGCGTTAGCTCCTTGTCCCCCAAATAAAGAAAGCTTTGCAAATCTGACTGCATGGAACAATGTATGTTTTACTAGTGGGTGGTGTTATTTTTCTTAATCTTACCCTCACACCCAGCATTTTCTCCCCCAACACACTTCCTCTGCAAGTTCACCATGGTTTAAATAGGTTGAAAGCCAGCCTAGGCCACATTGTACAATTCCTTCTTACCAGACATCCTTGATATAAGTTCTCCGGCTTCAAAGCATCTCTTAATAAAGTTGTCTGTTGATTAGTTGATACCGCTGTGTGGTGAGGGGTAAATGGCAGTGGAAGAACATTTCCAGGTCCCTGGTATTTTTACTACTATAATCACATTAAATCATCATCTTTAATATCTAACACCAAAAGGCCATCCATGTATTCAAAAAGAATATTACAGCCACACTGACAAGAATCTTAAAGCCCTACATTGCCACACATGGAGGTGAACTAAAAACACAATGCAATTTGTACGAAGACTCCTCCTAATTCCTCTAACTCATAAATACTTCAGTCTTAAAATAAAAATACAGCTGCATAAAGTGAACTGCTTTACCTGTATGGTTAGTTCCCTCATTCTTGACTTCTGTGGTTCCCACAGAAGAGGTGGGTGGACTAGCAGGAGGACTGGCAGTAAAGCTTGTGCACCCTGTAGATGTGTTGATTTCAAAATATTCTTGGTTGTGATTCATTCGGTGAAAATCCAGAGAAGACACAATGGATGTTCGCTGTTTAGGCTAAAATAAATGAGCATGACGAGAGTATTAATATGATCATGTTCATCTTCAGCCCAATCTCCCCATCAATTTAATCTAAGTGATAATTTTTTTCAGTTAAAAACTATCTGGGTTTTATACTTAAAATATAATTGTGCTTTACAGAGATACATTAATTTCTTGATGAATTAAATAATAAAAAATTATTTAATGAGAAAATATTATGGCATAGTTGATGTGATAGGTTAGGCTTTTCATTTGCTTTCCCCAGAAGATTGTAAAAATATAGTGCACAAAATTTCTCTTGGTAATCAATTTTGAAAGTTGCAATTTTAAGTCACCTTTCATTCAACTAACATTTATTAAGCATCTGGCATTTGCCAGACCCAGAGGATATAGAATCTAATAATAAAAGGGCCTTACAACATAGAAGAATAATTAAGGCAGTTCCATTTTTTTATTCTTTAAATAGTCCAAGGAATTGGTGGCATTAGATATTGTTCCCAAGTACAAGATGCTGGAATTTTATCATCAGAATTAAATAAAGTTATATGGAACATTTTCTAAGATCTAAGAATATGCTTGGTATTTTTAGTGAACTTTGATTTTCTTTTTTAAGAATTTTAATTAATCCCCAAATAGCAAGAAAAGTCAATTTAAACATAAAAGTTAAAATCATGGAGTAATAGCAGATATAATCTATACCCTTTGTCAGTAATGAATTACTCCCCGTAGCAATTTTCTGGGGCTTTTTCCCCATAGTTTTAATTATATTCACTTTCTTTTCTTGCCTAGCAGAGCTTCTAACATTGTCCTTCAGAAAAACTGCAGTTTTTTGGCTCTCAAATGTGTGTGTTTTTCCCAGGATTCAACTCTACCTTTCTTACTTTTTATTTTTTAGTTTATATTACTGAAATACTAAAAATCTCTTATAATAATTATAAGAGATCAAATGTAAACTTTTTATAATAAGGTAAAGTTTATTGTACTTTACTTTCTCCAAAGTACAATTAACTTTTGGTTTACTAATGTTTTTATTACCCTTAAATATGTGTTAATCCCTGTACTCCATAGATTATTTTCCTGCAAAATATTCAAATTGCTGTCTCTTCCAGCTTATCATTTTCTTCCAAGTAGATATCATTTAATCTATAATCTAAAATAGACAATCATATGGAAAATATCTGCACAGTATAGGGTTTTTAAAAAAATATATAAGGTGTGTAAATTATCACAATATGATTTATTCTTTCACCAATATTTCACCAAATATTTTTATGAAAGACATTGAGAGGTATAAATATTGTTATGCAAGAGAGTGCAAGTCATTTATTATTATGACACATCAACTCAGTAATAGAATTCAAATTAGCACCCACAGAGGACTCAGTTGCTTTTGAAATACAAAAGATCAGGGTTTAATGTCAGGCTTGGTTTCTCATGAAATGTCTGTCCTTGGGACTGCTGAATCTCAATTTCACATTCAATGTCCTTTCCACCACATTCTATAATAGCAATTAGAAAGGCATGAGCTATAGCGCTGGCTCCAATGGAGCCCATCATTCTAGGCTTTGTTTTATTGTGTTGTGTTTTTGTTTCACTTTATGTGTAGGCAATGGACCACATTTCTATGTTTCTTCTCATAAATTTTATAAAGGTCAAGCCAAATGATATATATGATTCCCCCATTTCTAATTGTTTCTTAAATACATGTTTCTGAATCCTGACCACCCATGGTTCTAACTGCTTTAAAAACACAATGTTTTATGCAATCATGAAAACAAACAAGCTATTTTGTGCAATATTAATTCATTCTACAAATATTTGCTGAACATACACTAAACTGCAGATATCATGCACGTAAGCACTGTGATAGGAATAAAACAAGACACTGTCCCTGTTTTCTGTATGAATATAAACGAGGTGGGAGGATGGATGGCACATGAGTCTTCGAAAAAGAGACAAGCAATCCAATGATTATGCTTCAGTATCACATAGCAGTAAGGGTGATGAAAAATTAGAAGCATTATACTTAGTCATGCCCTAAGGCAAGGGTCAGCAAACTATGGCCTGTGGCTCAAATCTGGCTTTCTTCCTGTTTCTAAAAATGAAGTTTTATTGGAACAAAACTGCACCCATTGCTCCCTCATTTAGTTATGGTCTATGACTGCCCTCGTACTATAATTGCAGAGTTCAGTAGTCGCAACACAGGTCATATTTTCCACAACACTTGAAATATTTATTATGTCTGGCTTTTTAGAGAAAATATTTGGCCACTCCTGTTCTATGGAATTGTTTCACACCTCAATTTTGTGCTCAATAAAACCGTAACTATAGGTTTCCTTTTATTTCCTAGCCTGACTTGCCTTTGGGTTGGGCAATGTGACTAATTCTCATCAAATACAATATTAGTAGAAGTGACATTTTTCTATCCCTCTCTTACTCTCCTAATGATGTAGTTGAAAGATGAAGGAAAGTCATGAAACTCACTAATTAGTTTTATGAGATGTTAAAGTGAACCTTCCTTTTTTATATTTTTATTTTAAGTTCAGGGGTACATGTGCAGGTTTGTTACATAGGTAAAGGTGTGTCATGGGGGTTTGTTTAACAGATTATTTTATCGCCCAGGTATTAAGCCTAGTACTCATTAGTTATTTTTCCTGATCCTCTCCCTCCTCCCACCCTCCACCATCTGATAGGCCCCAGTGTGTGTTGTTCCCCTCTATGTGTCCATGTGTTCTCATCATTTAGTTCCCAGTGATGAGTGAGAACATGTGGTATTTGATTTTCTGCTCCTGCATTAGTTCACTCAGGATAACAGCCTCCAGCTCCATCCATGTCCCTGCAAAGGACATGATCTCATTCTTTTTTATGGCTGCATAGTATTCCGTGGTGTATATATACCACATTTTCTTTATCCAGTCTATCATTGGTGAGCATTGAGGTTGATTCCATGTCTTTCATATTGTGAATAGTGCTGCAATGAACATACGCATGACGTGTCTTTGTAATAGAATGATTTATGTTCTTTTGGGTATATACGCAGTAATGGGATTACTGGATCGAATGGTATTTCTGACTTTAAGTCTTTGAGGAATCACTGCATTCTCTTCCACAATGGTTGAACTAATGTATACTCCCACCTGTAGTGTATAAGTGTGGCTTTTTCTCCACAACCTTCCCAGCATGTGTTATTTTTTGACTTTTTAATAATAGCCATTCTGAATTGATTTGAAATGGTATCTCATTGTGGTTTTGGTTTGAATTACTCTAATGATCAATGATGTAGCACTTTTTTTCATATAATTGTTAGCTGCATGTATGTCTTCTTTTGAGCAGCAGTGTCTGTTCACTTTTCTTTCTTTTTTTTTTTTTTTTTTTTTTTTTTGAGACGGAGTCTCTATCACCCAGGCTGGAGTGCAGTGGCATGATCCCAGCTCAATGCAACCTCTGCCTCCTGGGTTCAAGTGATTCTTGTGCCTCAGGGCCTCGAGTAGCTGGGATTACAGGCAAGCATTACCATGTCTGGCTAATTTCTGTCTTTTTAGTAGAGACGGGGTTTTGCCGTGTTGGTCAGGCTGGTCTTGAACTCCTGGCCTCAAGTGATCTGCCCACCTCATCCTCCCAAAGTGCTGGGATTACAGGCGTGAACGACCATACCCAGCCCCCAATGCCCACTTTTTAATGGGGGTTGATTTTTTTTTCTTGTAAATGTAAGTTAATTTCTTATAGATGCTGGATATTAGCCTTTGTCAGGTGAATAGTTTGCAAAAATTTTCTCCCCTTCTGTGGGTTGTCTGTTTACTCTGTTGACAGTTTCTTTTGCTGTACAGAGGCTCTTTAGTTTTACTAGATTTCATTTGTCAATTTTTTCTTTTATTCCAACTGAAGGAACACTTATACACTGTTGATGGGAGTTTAAATTAGTTCAACCATGAAGACACTATGGTGATTCATCAAACAGAAATTTTGAGGATATTTCTGTTCCTAAAAACAAAAATATACCATTTGACCCAGCAATCTAATTACTGGGTATATACCCAAAGGAATATAAATCATTCTGTCATAAAGACACATACACACATATGTTCACTGCAGCACTATTCACAACGGCAAAGACATGGAATCAATCTAAATGCCCATCAGTGATAGACTGGATAAAGAAAATGTGGGATATAATATATAGCATGGAATACTATGCAGCCATAAAAAAGAATTAGATCATGTCCTTTTCAGGAACATGGTTGGAGACCGAGGCTATTATCCTTAGCAAACTAACACAAGAACAGAAAACCAAATATTGCATGTTCTCACTTATATGTGGGAGCTAAATTATAACTAATGGACACATAGAGAAGAACAACACATACTGGGCCTATTGGAGAGTGGAGGGTAGGAGGAAGGAGAGCATCAGGAAAAATAACTAATGGGTACTAGGCTTAATGCCTGGGTGACAAAATAATCTGTACAACAAACCCCATGATACTATTTTACCTATGTAACCTGCACATGTACTCCTGAACTCAAAATAGAAGTTACATAAAAAATTTAAAAAAAGAAATGAGAACAAAGAAGCTGCTTTGAGGAAACTCAACAAAATTCAAGATAACGCAGATGAGGTATTCAGAATCCTATCAGATAAATTTAACAAAGAGATTGAAATTATTGAAAAGAATCAAGCAGAAATTCTGGAGCTGAAAAATGCAACTGGTATACTGAAGAATGCATTAGAATCTGTTAAAAGCAGAATTGATCAGGCAGAAGAAAGAATTAGTGAGCTTCAAAACAGGCTATTTGTAAATATATAGTCAGAGAAGACAAAAGAAAAAAGAATAAAAAAGAATGAATCATGGCTTCAAGATCTAGAAAATAGCTTCCAAAGGGCAAATCTAACAGTTATTGGCCTTATAGAGGAGGGAGAGAGGTGGGTGGAATAAAAAGTTTACTCAAAGTGAGAACAGAGAACTTCCTAGACCTAAAGAAAGATCTCAATATTCAAGTATAAGAAGGCCATAGAATACCAAGGAGATTTAATCCAAACAAGACTACCTCAAGCTATTTAATAACTTAACTCTCAAAATTCAAGGATAAACAAAGGATTATAAATGCAGCAAGAGAAAAGAAGCAAATAACGTACAATGAAGCTCCAATATGCTTGGCAGCAGATTTCTCAGTAGAAACTTTACATGCCAGGAAAGAGTGGCATGACATATTTAAAGTGCTGGAGGAAAAAATGTTTATCCTAGAATAGTATATCCAGTGAAAATATCCTTCAAACATGAAGGAGAAATAAAGACTTTCCCAGACAAACAAAAGTTGAGAAATTTCTTCAACATTAGATCTTTCCTACAATAAATGCTAAAGGGAGTTCTTCAGTGTGAAAGAAAATGACGTTAATGAGCAACAAGAAATCATCTGAAGGTACATAACTCATGAGTAAAAAAAACACAGAATAGTATAACACTGTAATTGGGATGTGTGAACTCATATTTTGAGGTGACAAATGAAAAAATAGACTGATAATAACAAGTATGAAAACTTTTCAAGACATAGACAGTACAATAAGACATAAATAGAAACAACAAAAGTTAAAAAGTAGGGGGACAAAGTTAATGGCTACAATATTTATTAGTTTTTCCTTTGCTTGTTTGTTTATGTAATCAGTGTTAAGTTGCCATCAGTTTAAAATAATGGATTATAAAAAATTATTTGCAAGCCTTAAGGTAAATTCAAATTAAAAATCCTACAATAGATACATAAGAAATAAAACAAGAAATTAAAACATACCAGCAGAGAAAATCTTCACTAAAAGGAAGAGAGGGAGGAAGGAGAGAAGGAGGAGATCACACAAAAAACTAGAAAACAAATAACACAATGGCAGGATAAGTGCTTATCATTAATATCAATAATATTGAATAATTAGACTAGAATCTCCAGTCAAAAGACAGAGAGTAGCTGAATGGGTTAAAAAAAAAAGACCCAACAATCTATTGCCTGCAAGAAATACACTTCACCTATAAAGATACACATAGACTGAAAATAAGGGGATGGACAAAGATATTCCATGCAAATAAAAATCAAAAAAGAGCAGTCGTAGCTATACTGATATGACAAAATAGATTTCAAGAAAAAACTATAAAAACAGACAAAAAATCATTACATAATGATAAAGGGTGAAAATCAAGAAGATGATATCATAATTTCAAATATATACGCACCCAGATATATAAAGCAAATATTATTAAGGGTAAAGAGAGACATAAACCCCAATACAATAGTAGCTGAAGACTTCAACAACCCACTTTCATCATTGGACAGATCATTCAGACAGAAAATCAACAAAGAAATGTCAGACTTAATCTGTACTATAGGTCAAATGGGCTTAATAGGTATCTACAGAACATTTCAATGAACAGTTACAGAATATACATTCTTCTCCTTAGTACATGAATAATTCTCAAAGATAGACCATTTGTTAGGTCACGAAACAAGTCTTAAAAAAACTAAAAAATAAATTGAAATTATATCAAGTATCTTCTTTATCCACTATAAAATAAAACTAGGAATCAATAACAAGAGGAATTTTGGAAACTATACAAACACGTGAAAATTAAACAATATGCTACTGAATGACCAAATGGGTCAATGAAGAAATTAAGAGGGGAATTTAAAAATGTCTTGAAGCAAATGGTAATGAAAAGACAACATAGCAAAACCTATGGGCTACAGCAAAAGCAGAACTAACAGGAAAATTTATAGCTATAAGCACCTACATCAAAAAAGTAGAAAAACTTCAAATAACCTAACAATGCATCCTAAGAACAAGAAAGGCAAGAGAAAACCATACCCAAAGTTAGAAGAAAAGAAATAATAAAGATCAGAGCAGAAATAGATAAAATTGAAACAAAGAAAATACCATAAATGCTAAATAAAATAAAAAGTTGGTTTTTTGAAAAGATAAAATTGACAAACCTTTAGCCAGATTAAGAAAAGAGAGATAAGCCTCAAGTAAATAAAATGAGAGAAGAAAAAGACAACGTTACAACTGATGCCACAGAAATTCAAAGGATCATTAGAGGCTCCTAGGAGCAAGCAGTAGTCTCCCAGCAAAGAAAAGCCCAGGATCTGATGGCTTCACTGCTGAATTCTACCAAACATTTAAAGAATAACTAATACATGCCTTACTCAAACTATGCCAAGAAATGGAGGAGGAGGAAATACTTCTGAACTCATTCTACAAGGCTGGTATTACCCTGATACCAAAACCGGACAAAGACACATCAAAAACAGAAAACTACGGGCCAATATTCCTGATGCATGTTGATGCAAAAATTCTCAACAAAATACTAGCAAACCAAATTCAACACCACATTAAAAAGGCCATTCATTATGATGAAGGGGAATTTATCCCAGGGATGCAAGGATGGTTCAACTTATGTAAATCAATCAGATAATACAACATACCAGCAAAATTAAGGACAAAAAACTACATAACTGATTTAATTGATGCTGAAAAAGAATTTGATAAAATTCAACATCCCTTCATGATAAAAACCCACTGGGTATAGAAGAAACAGACCTCGAATAGTAAAAGCCATGTACAACAGACCCACAGTATCATACAAAATGGGAGAAAACTGAAAGCCTTTCCTCTAAGACCTGGAACTTGACAAGGACGCCCACTTTCAGCACTCTTATTCACCGTCATACTGGAAGTCCTGGCTAGTAATCAGACAAGAGAAAGAAATAAAGGGCATCCAAGTTGAAAAGGAAGAATTTGAATTAGCCTTTCAAAATCTTACATATTTTGAAAAACCTAAAGATTCTACCAAAAAACTATTAGAACTGATAAATTCAGTAAAGTTGCAGAATACAAAATCAACATACAAAAACCAGTAGCATTTCTATATGCCAACAGTGAATAATCAGAAAAAATAGAACAAAGAAGTCTCATTTACAATAGCTACAAATAAAATAAAATATCTAGGAATAAACTTAACCAAAGAAGTAAAAGAGCTCTACAGTGAAAACTATAAACACGGATGAAAGACATTGAAAATCATATAAGAAAATGAAAAGATATTCCACTTTCTGGATTGGTAGAATAAACACTGTTAAAATATCCATACTACCTAAAGCAATCTACAGATTCAATGCAATCATTAACAAAATACTAATGATATTCTTCACAGAAATGGAAAAAACAATCCTAAAATGTATATGGAACCAAAAAAGACCCAGAAGAGAATAAGCCATCATGAGCAAAAAGAATAAAACTGGAGGAATCACATTGCCTGACTTCAAGTTATACTACCAAGCTATAGTAACCAAAACAGCATGGTTCTGGCATAGAAGCAGACAAATAGACCAATGGAACAGAATGGACAACCCAGGAACAAATCTATACACTGACAGTGAATTCATTTTTGACAAAGGTGTCAAGAACATACACAAGGTTACATAAGGGAAAAGACAGGGTGGTGGTGGAAAAACAGGATATCCATAAGCAGAAGAACGAAAGTAGACCCCTATCTCTTGCCTTATACAAAAATCAAATCAAAATGGATTAAATAATTAAATCTAAGACCTCAAACTACAAAACTACTAAAAGAAAGCATCAGGGAAGCTCTCCAGGACATTGGACTAGGCAAAAATTTCTTAAGGAACACTTCACAAGCATAGGCAACCAAAGCAAAAGCGGACAAGTGAGATTATATCAAGCTAAAAACTTCTGCACAGCAAAGGAAACAACCAATAAAGTGAAGAGACCACCTAAAGAATGGGAGAAAATATTTACAAGCTATCCATCTGACAAGAGATTAATAGCCAGAATATGTAAGGAGATCAAAAAACTGAAAAGGAAAAAAAATCTAAGAATCTGATTTAAAATGGGCAAAAGATCAGAATAGACATTTCTCAAAAGAAGACATACAAATGGCGAACCGATATGAGAAAAGGTGTTCAATATTACTGATCATATGAGAAATGCAAATTACAACTACAAGGAAATATCACCTCACCCCAGTTAAAATGGCTTTTATCCAAAAGACAGGCAACGACAAATGCTGGCAAGGATGTAGAGAAAATGAAACCCTTGTAAACTGCTGGTGGGAATGTAAATTACTACAACCAATGTAGAGAAAAATGGAGATTTTGGAGGTTCCTTAAATAACTAGAAATAGAACTACCATATGATCCTGCAGTCACACTGCTAGGTATATTCCCAAAAGTATATCGAAAACATAGCTCATTCTCTCTCATGTTTATTGCAGGACTATTCACAATAGCCAAGATTTAGAAGCCACCTAAGTGTCTATCAACATATGAATGGATAAAGAAAATGTGGTACATAAACACAATGGCATACTATTCGGCTATAAAAAAGAATGAGATCCTGTCATTTGCAACAACATGGATGGAACTGGAAGTCATTACGTTAAGTGAAATAAGCCAGGCACAGAAAGACAAACATTGCATGTTCTCATTTATTTGTAGGAACTAGAAAAATTAAAACAATTGAACTCACAGTGGTAGAGAGTGGAGTGATGGTTACCAGATGCTAAAAATGGTAATTTGGGTGGTGGGGGGAGTGGGAATAGTTAATGGGCTCAAAAATGTGGTTGGAATGAATAAGATCTAGTATTTGATAGCACAATATTATGACTAGAGTCAGCAATAATTTATTGTACCTTTTAAAATAACTAAAACCGTATAACTGAATTATGGGTAATACAAAGAAAGGAAAAATGCTTGAGTTGATGAACACCCCATTTACCCCAAAATGATTATTACACTGCATGCCTGTGTCAAAATATCTCATATACTCTACAAATATATATACCTACTATGTACCCCAAAAAACTAAAAATTAAAATAAAAAAGAGATATCTATGTGGAGAAATGGAATAACAGCAATGGGAGAAAAGAATAAAGAGATGGTCATAATATTAAAATGGAGATAAAAAAGAATAGGTCTAGAATATTCATTTAAACATGTTTGATTTAATATAATTTTTACTACTCAAATAGAATTGCACTCAGCCATTCAGTATAAAAAAGAAAAAGTGTTTTCACAAATTCACTGAAATTACATATTGAATTTGCCAAGCTTTGATATGTAGAATGAATTGCACTTGTGTTCGTTGTGGCTTCTCCACTTTAAAACATATCCCTCCACTGTGGTCCAGTCCTCATATCACCCTACTTTCCAGAGGACTTGCTTCTATACATATTTACTTAGCAGGAGTCAGCAAACTACATCTTATGTGCCAAAGCCAGGCTTCTGAATATTTTTGTTCAGCCTGAAAGCTAAGAATGGTTTTCACATTTTTTATCGTTTTTTAGAAAAGGAAAAATAATATTAGTAACACATGAAAATTGTATGAAACTCAAACTTCACTGTTTGAAAACAAAGTTTTATGGAGACATAGCCATGTCCATTCATTGATGTATTGTCTATGGCTGTTTTCCTGCTACAGTAGCAGAGTGTAGTAGTTGTAACGTAGACCTTATGAACGAAGACTTAACTATTTTACTCTCTGATCTTTTATAAAAAAAAAAAATTGTGACCCTTTCTATAAAGTGAATAGGAAATTTCAGCTGGGCACAGTGGTTCACGCCTGTAATCCCAGCACTTTGGGAGGCCGAGGTGGGCGGATCACGAGGTCAGGAGATCGAGACCATCCCGGCTAACACGGTGAAACCCCGTCTCTACTAAAAATACAAAAAATTAGCCGGGTGTGGTTGCAGGCTCCTGTAGTCCCAGCTACTCGGGAGGCTGAGGCAGGAGAATGGCGTGAACCTGGGAGGGGGAGCTTGCAGGGAGCCGAGATCGGGCCACTGCACTCCAGCCTGGGCAACAGGGCAAGACTCCATCTCAAACAAACAAACAAACCAACAAACAAAAGTTAACAGGAAATTTCTCTGAGGAGGTAAAGTTGAACAGACACAGGAACGACTGTGATTGAATCAGGGAACCAGTGCAACATAAAAAGGTAGGACCCCTTGTTTCAAGAGCAGGTACAAAAACTTTTTTCTTTTTCCCATGTTCTCTCTCTAGATCTGTTATGGTGTTCTTTTATTTGCTACTTAACGTATTGCTCCCTTGGTCATGGAAACACTCACAGGGTGAGGGCAGATTCTTACAGGAATGCAGTGGCTCTGCCCTGCAACTCAGTAAGTGCATCTGACCTTGACCCTTCCCCACACTCATGGTCTCACTACTGCATCAGCAGTTTCTGGGCAGGCCAGGGGCACCTGGGTTGGAGGAGCAGGTGGAAAAGAATTTTACTCAGTAAAGAAAGTAGAAATAGGGTGGAAAGTGGGAAAACAGTTAAGTCAAGATTCCAAGCCCCAACACATGTTCAATTTTCCCATAAACCGCCTTACAAAACCCTGGGCCAGGAGCACCAGGGTTGGGGGAGCTGCTAGAGTCCCCAGTGTCTACTGTTCCCATCTTTATGTCTGTGTGTACCCAATGTTTAGGTCCCACTTATTAGTAAGAATGTGTGGTATTTGGTTTTCTGTTTCTGTGTTAATTCACTCAGGATAACGGTCTCTAGCTACATTCATGCTGCTGCCAAGGACATGATTTCATTCTTCTTTATGGCTGCATAGTATTCCACAGTGTATATGTACCACATTTTCTTTATCCAATCCACTACTGATGGGCACTTAGGCTGATTCCATGTCTTCTCTATAGTGAATAGCACCGCAATAAACATATGAGTGCAGGTGTTTTTTGGTAGAAATATTTATTTTCCTTTGGGTCTATATCAACCTGGGATATTTTGTGTGATACATATGACGAAAATATTTAATTCTAAATATTTTTTTCTCAAAATGATAGCCTACTGTCCCAATACCATTATTTATCCACTGATTTGAAATGTCACCTTTATCATATACTAAATTTCCAAATAGAGATTGGGCTTGCATTTTTGGACTCGACTATATTCCCATTGATCTATTTGTCTATTCCTGTACTAACATCACACTCTCTTACTTACTGTATGGCTTCTATTTCTAGAGCTCCTAGTGCGTGGATATTGGATCTCTTTGACCCTTCCTGTTTTATATACTGGGAGTATTCTACAGTTCATTGTCCTAAAGAACCTTCATTAATTTGCTAGGAAATACTTATTGACCATTATCAGCTGTGTGGTCAGGCGCTGTTGTAGCCTCTGGGGATACATCAATGAACAAATAAGATAAGGCACATAATTTTAGGCATTTTGTTTTAACTTTTGGTGTGATTATGCTATTTTTAATTTTAAAAACTTTTCTTTTTTTTCAAGTATTCCATTTTTAAAATAGCCTGTTATTAACTTTATAAGTTCAATCACCTCTCAAATCTTTCTGAGGATACTGATTAGAGTCTTTTTCTGGCATTAAGTCAGTTTTCTTAAAGGTTCCTTACTTTGTTCATTAAGCCTGGTTTCTCTCTTTTTGGTTGTTAATTTTTCCTCAACCATCTGGTGTCTTGGTCAAGCACTTTTTATACCTAGGGCACTGTCCCCACATTAGGAGCTTCAGGGGGTCCTTCACCTTCCTTAGATACTTATTACCATCTGGTGGGCAAACAACAAAGCTGATTGCTCCACATAGGAGATGCTAAGGTTCTGGTTGCCCTGTCCACTCCCTGGCTTTGATAACCATGCCCTGTTGCTCAGGCTTGAGATTCTTCGCAGAGGTCTAATGAGGATGTCAAATCCACTCATTGTTCCAGTGACATCTTCCCCTCTTCCACCAGTGTTGGATGGTGGGCTTTTTCCTCTTGTTTTGTCTAAATCTAGCAATATTTGATTTTATCTTTTAGAATTTCGCAAATGCCTCAGGTAGTAACTCTCCCTGTTTTTCATCACTGCTATGAATTTATTGTTAATTTTGTATTTATTTTTACCATTTTGATTGCAAGTAAGGAGGAGGAAAATGTAAACACTTGCGATCCACTCAGCTTTATCAGTTAGAATTCTCATATTTCTCTGTCTTGATCACTTTGAAGACTGTATATAAGAGATTTGAGGAAGTCTGGACAACTCGAAGAAAGTAAGTATCATTGCCATTTCATCACAGATGTCATGCAAATGGAAAATTATTATATTTTCTTGATTTTTCAATAAATGGAAAACAATTTTAAGTGAAGTACAATTTTTTGGTTGTTATGAATATGATGTTAATGTGATCAAGACTTGCTCTAAAGATGTAGAACTCCTTATCTTCAGGTAGGCAAATGCAATTCTTCTGCTTTATAGATTATGGCCAAACATAGACAAAAAATATATGATCACCACAAGGGAGTTAAAGAAGTCGTGAGTGAGTATTGAGTATTTAAGAGACGTGGACATTCTTCTAGGCACTTGAAATTTGTTGTCTCATTGAAGCCTATAATGTTAGTATCAAAAGTAGCTATTACTCTTTCCATTTTATAGACTTGAGATTCACAGATAATCTCAGTTAAGTGGGAGAGCTGAAATTAAAGTTAAGTGGGAGAGATGAAATTAAAATTAAGCGGGAGAGATGAAATTAAAACACAAATCTAGTGAATTTCAAATTGATTGCATTTTCCCCGAAAGACACCACACTATAGGTAAAGCAAAGAGAAGCAAACATATTTACAAGTAAAGCCAAGAGCCTAATAACTCTTGAGTTTCTCATCTTTATATCAACGCACAATTTTCCTACTCTTCAGTCTATTGGTAGCATTGATTTTTTTAAAAATCTACATTGTTTCAAAAGCTGTTGAAATAAAACGCAAGTGGGTGGAAAATGGGAATAAATAGTATCTAATTCTGCTATGCATTAAACTCTTACAGTCACTACATTTTTTATAAGAGAAAGGCAGAAAATTTTTAAAAATCTTTATATCTCCTGACTTTAGCTCTTCATTTCATTTTTATATAGAGGTATCTGACTATGAAATAATATGCATACTCATCTTCTATTTAAAAAGACAAATTATAAAACAGACTGTAGGGACTCTGTACTGCTTCTCAGACACTGCAATCCCACATAGGAGCAAGGTCAGATTTACTGATACAGGCAACTGTCCAAAGCAGCTCTTCTCCTGCTAGCTGTTGATGTTCTCTTCCTCTCTGCCAGCTCCATAACAAGGGCCCTCACCCGGTGCACCACCCTCGCCCACACACACACCCTGACCGAGGCCCTGAGAGTTCCAGGTTCCTGCACCTGCCTTTCCTGCCCAGGGCTTTTTGAGAACAGACAGTTGCTCTCAAGCCCAGGGCTTTCTGAGAGCAGACAGTTGCTCTTGAGCCCTTCTCTGAGGTCCTCTGAACACCCCTACTCCACCATCAATCAGAGCAGTTATACTTTTTTTTTTTGCTTTTACCTATTAGGTTTCTGTTAGGTTGAAACATATGAAACTGCTGATATTCAACCGTATTACCTGCAAAAATAGCAATTTCATATAACTCAGCCTACATAAACTTTTCTTTTAACAGAGTTCTCTGGCTAAATAATTTGAAAACCATTTCTCTAGGCCTTAAGTGAGCCTGACATTTTGCTGGCCCCAGTAAAATTGAACTCTTTCCCTTCTTAGACATCACTAGTAAGAGTATAAAGACACATGCACATGTATGTTTATTGCAGCACTATTCACAATAGCAAAGACTTGGAACCAACCCAAATGTCCATCAATAATAGACTGGATAAAGAAAATGTGGCACAGATACACCATGGAATACTATGCAGCCATAAAAAGGATGAGTTCATGTCCTTTGCAGGGACATGGATGAAGCTGGAAACCATCATTCTCAGCAAACTAACACAGGAACAGAAAACCAAACACCACATGTTCTCACTCATAAATGGGAGTTGAACAATTAGAACACGTGGACACAGGGAGGGAAACATCACACACTGGGGCCTGTCCAGGGGGTGAGGGGTTAGGGGAAGGATAGCATTAGGAGAAATACCTAACGTAAATGATGTGTTGATGGGTGCAACAAACCACCATAGCACATGTATACCTATGTAACAAACCTGCGCGTTCTGCACATGTATTCCAGAGAGTATAAATGGGTATATGCCCTTTTCAGGGCAACTTGTCAAAATAGATTTTTTAAAAGTGTTAAGTCTATCCCTAGTATTTAACATACATAAGCATGAGTGTGGAGTTTGTTAGATGGAAAATTTGTAATATATGTTTCTTCGTATGAGTTAGTTTCTTCATACAATGTATTCAAATCTTCATTGGAAAGACTGTATACACACATGAGAGGATAATAAAAGTTCTAGTTTTTATTCTAGTTTTATTTAATAAAGGTCAAAAGTAGTTTTGGACTCAATGTAGATATTAAAGACCTGAAAAGCATTTTGACCTCCAAACCATGGAGTTTGTCCTCATAGAAGCTTTCCCAGCATGAAAATAGTCACAACTATTTTGCAAAAAATACTTTTTGACTTAGGTATTGCAAATACTTATATATTAATATTTTATAGATGTTCATGTCAACTTCAAATGCATCCAGAATTTAAAATAAGTAAAACCAGCTTTATTTTCCACACTTAAGTTCTTTTTTTAAAGCAACAATTTCAAGTGATTTGTTTCATCTTAGGAACAGCAGGAAATAATTATGCAATGGATTATAGAAGATATATTCTGAACAGCTAAAATAGGAAGCACATATCACTGTGTGGGTGAAAGAAAGACATTTTTACAAATAAAGGTGCACACTGCTTTTTAAATAGCTTAATTTTTTAATTAAATTTTTTATTTTCAATAATTGTAGATTCATATGCCATTGTGAGAAATCATAGAGTGCACTCATGTTTCTTTTTCCTAGATTCCCTCAGTGGGCACATCTCACAAAATTATAGTGCAACATCGTAAAAAGGACAAGAAACAGAGCAATTCCATCACCACGAGGATCCCTCCCATTGCCCTTTTTTTTGAGAGGGAGTCTCGCTCTGCCGCCCAGGCTGGAGTGTAGTGGTGAGATCTCGGCTCACGGCAAGCTCCGCCTCCCAGGTTCACGCCATTTTCCTGCCTCAGCCTCCTAAGTAGCTGGGACTACAGGCGCCCGCCACCACGCCCGGCTAATTTTTTGTATTTTTAGTAGAGACGGGGTTTCACTGTGTTAGCCAGGATGGTCTCAATCTCCTGACCTCGTGATCCACCCACCTTGGCCTCCTAAAGTGCTGGAATTACAGGCGTGAACCACCGCGCCAGGCCCCATTGCCCTTTTATAGCTACACTCACTTCTCTCCTGCCCCCACCTCCACCTTAACTCCTGGTAACTACCGATCTGTTATCCAGTTCTACAATTTTGTCACATTAATAATGCTATATTAATAGGATCACACAGTATGTAACCTTTTAGGACTGGCTTTTCTCACTCAGCATACTTTTCTGCAGATTCATCCAAGCTGTTGTGTGTATCAATAGCTTGCTCCATTTTATTGCTGGATAGTATTCAATGACATGGATGTTTAACCATTCACCCAATGAAGGACATCTGGGTTGTTTCCAGTTTTTAGCTGTTATGAATAATGCTGCTATAAATATTTGTGTACAGATTTTTCAGTGAACATGTTTTCATTTATCTGGGATAAATTCCCAGAAGTACAAATGCTGGTTGGTATGGCAGTTCAATGTTTAATGTTTTAAGAAACTGCCAAACTGTTTTCCAAAATTGCTGTACAATTTTACATTTCCACCAGCAATCTATGAGCTTCTCTGTATCCTTGCCAGCATTTAGTGTTGTCACAATTTTTTATTTTAGCCCTTCTGATAGGTGTGTAGTGATATCTCATTGTGGTTTTACTTTGCGTCTCCCTTGTGGATAATGATGTTGAATATCTTTTCTTGTGCTTATTTGCTGCCATCTACATATCCTCTGCAGTAAAACGTCTCTTCATGTCTTCTGCCCATTTTCTAATTGGATTATTTTTATACTATTGAGTTTTGAGAGTGCTTTATAAGTTCTAGATATTATTCTTTGTTAGATATGTGATTTATAAATATTTTCTCCAGTATGTACCTTGTCTTCTCATCTTCTTAATAGGGTTTTTCACAGAGCAAAAGTTTTTAACTTTAATGAAGTACATTTTTTTTTAACCAGAGGTGCTAGTCACACCTTATTCTTTGATAGAGCATAAACAGAGGTGGGGAGGGAGACAGTGCAAAGGGAGAAGGGCAGGCTCTTGAGAGCGAGGTTACTGGCATGCAGTCAGGCCCCCTCTGATTTGGGGACTATCACTTCTTAAACACGTGCTCTGTGGCCGTTGCCATGCCAAGCTCATTTATATTTGGGAGGAAGGAGAGGATCAGGACAATTTATTTTTTTATGGATTATGTCTTTGGTATCAAGTATAAGAACTCTTTGTCTAACTCTAGATCCCAGAAATTTTTTTCCTATTTTTTTCTAAAAGTTTTATAGTTCTATATTTTAAGTCAATTATCCATTTTGAATTAATTTTTACATAAGCCATATGACTTAGGTCAAGTTTCAACTTGTGGCCTGTGTATGTCCAACTGCTCCAGCACCAGGCTATCTTCCCTCCACTGAACTGCTTTTGTACCTTTGTCAAATAGCAGTCAGGTTTATGTGTATGGGTATATTTCTGGGTTCTCTCTTCTGTCCTATTGATCTAAGTGTCTATCCCTTCACTGATAATACTACATTGTCTTAAGTACTGTAGCTATAAAATAAATCTTGAAACTGGGTAGACTGATTCCTCCCACTTTTTTCTTCTCTTTCGATTTTTTTTTAGTTATCCTAGTTACTTTACGTATCTATGCAAATATTAGAATAATCTTATATTTACAAAAAAGTGTTGCTGTGACTTTGATAGGAATTATGTTAAATCTAAATATCAATTTGGAACAATTTACATCTTTGCTACACTGAGTCTTCTAATCCATAAACAGGTATGTCTTTCCACTTCTTTGAACATTTTTTTTCATCAGTGTTTTGTAGTTTTCAGTATACAAGACCTGTACATGTTAAAGAGGAGTTCACCGAGGCTCATAATCAAACTATCAAAAATTAAAGACGAAGAAAAAATTCTGAAAGCAGCAAGAAGTAAGAAACATATCACATACAAAGAAGTCCAATGTAACTATCAGTGGATTTATCAGGAAAAACCCTGCAGGCTAGGAAAGGGGTAGGATGATATCTTCAAACTGCTAAATGAAAACAAATTGCCAACCAAGAATACTTAAATCAGTTAAGCTGTCCTTCAGAAATGAGAGAGAAATAGTAACTTTCCCAAACAAAAGCTAAGGGAGTTCATTATCACTGGGCCTGTTTCACAGAAATTACTAAAGGGAGTTCTTTAAGCTGTATCAAAAGGCCACTAATTAATAACATAAAACATGCAAAAGCACAACACTCAATGGTATAAGCATTACAGAATCACATTCAGAATACTCTGGACAAAAATGTTGGTATGCAAAGCAATTTTATCTCTAGTACAATGGTTAATAGACATCTATTAAAACAACTATAAATAAAATAATCAGGGGATACAAATTACAAAATGATGTAAATTTTGACATCCAAAACATAAAATGAGGGATTTGGATAAAAGTGTTAGATTTATATCTAATTATTATTTTTTCTTTTTGTATTTGTGATTATAAATGACCTTGTATTTTTAATTTCTGTGTATATATGTTCATAACTAGTTCACAGAAATACAATTTTTTTATGTGTATCTTGCATCCCGTGACCTTGTTGAGCTCACTTATTAGTCACAGGAGTGCTGTTTTTGTTTTGTTTTGTTTTGTTTTTTAGCTTGCTTCGGATTTCTACGAAGACAATCATGTCATCTGCAAATAGGAAGTTTCAGTTTTCCTTTCCAAATCTGTATGCCTTTTATTTTTTTGTTTTTCTTCTTGGCACAGGTTAGAGCTTCCAGCACTATGTTGAGTGACAGTGGTGAGCACAGTGGACATCCTTGCTTTGTTCCTAATCTTAGAAAGAAAGTCTTCATGTTTTTACCATTAAGTATAATGTTAGCTGTAGATTTTTTATAGATGCTCTTCATCAAGTTGAGAAAATTCCCCTCAATTTCTATTCTTTTAAGAGGTCTTAAAAAACAAAACAACATGAATGGGTGTTGAATTTTGTTGAATGCTTTCTGTGTATCAATTAATATCATTATGTGGATTTTCTTCTTTATTGATTTCAAATATTGAATGAGTTATGCATCCCTAAAATAAACCTCACTTTGTAATTGTATATAATTTTAAAAATACATTTCTGAATACTATTTGCTAATATTTTGTTAGGAATTTTTTGTCTATATTCATGAGGAATATTGCTCTGGGGTGTGGGTGTATGTGGAATTGGGAATACTAGGTCATAAAATGAATTAGAAAACATTCCCCCATTTTCTTTTTTCAAGACAAGATTGTTTAGAGTTAGTGTTAATTCTTCTTTAAATGTTGTTATAATTCTCCAACAAAACAATGTGAGCTTGGAGATTTATTTTTTGAAAGCTTTTTTGATTATGAATTCCATTTCATTAATAGTTGTAGGGCTATTCACATTATGTATTACATATTGGGTAAATTGTGGTAGTTTGTTTTAATAATTGATCCATTTTAGCTAAGTTGTCAAATTTATGTATGTAGAATAGTTTGTAATATTCCTTTATTATCCTTTTGATGTCTTCAGGGTCTGTAGTGACATCCCTATTTTATTCCTGATATAGGTAATTTGTGTCTTTCTTTTTTCTCTCAGTTTCACTTTAAGAACAGTAGGAAATAACAATATAATGATTTACAGAAGATATGTTCCTAGCAGCCAAAATATTAATAAAAGCTTATATTGCTGTATACGTGAAAGAAAATTTTTACAAATAAGAGTGGGCATTGCTTTTGGTTTTTAACTTCTCAAAGGTCATTCTGCTTTCTAATTCTTGTTTTTAGAGATAGGGTCTCACTCTATCCCCCAGGCTAGAGTCCAGTGGTAAAATCATATCTTACTGCAGCCTCAATCTCCTGGGCTCAAGCGATCCTCCCACCTTAGCCCCCTGAGTAGTTAGCAATACAGGCACACACCACCGTGTCCAACTAATTTTTTAAAACTCTTTGTAGATATATGGTCTGGCTATGTTGCCAGGTTGGTCTCAAATTCCTGGCCTCAAGTGATGTTCCTGTCTTGACCTCCCAAAATGCTGGGATTTCAGGCATGAGCCAGCACACCCAGCCTGCTTTCTAATTCTTAAGTCATCTCTTTACTATTATAGTAATAGTGCCCATGAAATACATTCTGTTTCAGGTATCCTACCTTTTTTTCATCTAAATCCTACAAAAACTCCACAGATGGGCAGACAGGGAAACTGAGTGTCAAAGATACTCAGTAACTATTGGACAGCTTTAGAATCCAGCTCTCTCAACACTTAAAAGCCATGAATACACTTTCCATTACATCATTCTGTCTTTTTGCTATAATTACCCAAAATGTCTTCCTATACAATAAAAATAACAGAACTTTTTTAGCTTAATGATAGTTTAAAAGAATATTTTCCCCAGAGTATCTGTAAAAGCATTTACCACGAGGGTTATCACAAAGTAATAAATATGTTAGTAGGTAGAATAAAGTTAAGGTTTAAACCAGAAAGATGTGACAATATAAGTACTTCTGTGAATAAATTTAAGATGGTGTGAAGTTTTAAGAATAAGCACATAGCACTTCCCCTGGAGTAAAATATAATCAGGGTCATAAAAATTTGTGTCATAATATGATAGCAATAAGTTTTAAAGTGAAGATAAGTATTACAATTAATTTTAGCTAACAAGTTCAACTCCTTTTCTGCTATTTTTCTAAAACAGTTATAAAAATGCCCATTAATAAAAGTTTGTCTTTTTTTCCTGACTCATTCCTGGCAAAGGAATATTCAAAAGGTTGATATGAAGGGGTATAAGTATATAAAGCAAGTGTTAAAAAATACATAAACTCAGTAATAAGCTTCTAAATAATCAAGAATTGTTATGATTTGTATGTAAATTTCATTTGGATTTCCCTCAAGGAAACAAAATCATTAAGTTCTGAAATAGTCTCTAATTCTAAAACTCCTTTCTTCATCTTCATATCAATGAAAAAATTGGTATCCTCAATTAAAAAGTACCTTTATGTTTCTAACTAATTCCTATGGGTTAAACTTATTAACACATATTTGGGAGACAAAATAGGATTTGCAGCAAAGTAGAATTGGATTCAGATCCTAATGTCGGTATTTACAGTTTAGTATTTGCATTCACAAAATGAGGATTATATAAGCCTCCCCACAGAATTATTGTCTGGATTAATTGAGATAATGTAAATGAAAGACTAGAATAAGGCCTAAATTAGTAAAGGATTGATAAGTATTCATCTTCTTCTCCCACTGTAATATTTTAGTATAAGTAGGATCTAACTGAAAGAAGACATTGATGAGTTAAATCATAAGGCAGCCCTCCTAATAAATGGCAGAATCACCAAATTACATGAACAGTCCAGCAGAATCTCCCTGACACAATTTACAGAGGTGAAGGTTGAAGGAAAAGAGGAAATCAATAGGTTCGGAAGAAAATACAGCACACAGACTTATTTTATCAGTGTTTAAGAGAGCTGCCCTGGAAATTGCAGTAAGAGCTCTAAGTAGAAACCTTCCGGGGGCGTCTCTGATGGGAAATAAGTGGCAGAGACCCTGGTAGAACCTCTCTAAATAGCCCACCATCTCTGATTTGGAGGAGTGAGGGCTCATGGCAATGAGGGACCACAAAGAAGGGGGAAAAAGAAGAGAAGATACACTCCAATTAATCACAATAAGCCTTTTTAGAAAGCATGGCATTAGGAGGTTAAAGAGCCCCTGTGGTGACTTGTTTACAGGAGCAGAAAGTTAAGAGGCTGTTAGGAGCTTGAAGAGGAAACATCAGACTTCAGCTTCTGAGAAAGAAGTTAGTCATTAGACATATTTTGCTTTAGAAACAAACCCAAGTGATATAGTTTGAATATATGTCCCCATCAAATCTCACACTGAACTGTAATCCTCAGTGTTGGAGGTGGGGCTTGGTGGGAGGTGACTGGGTCAATGGGGCAAATCCTTCATGTCTTGGTGCTGTCCTCGTGGCAATGTTTTCACAAGATCTGGTTGTTTAAGTGTGTGGCACCTCCCCACCAACCCCACTCTCTCTCTTGCTCCTGCTTTTGCCATGTGATGTGCCTGCTTGCACTTCACAACTTCTGCCATGAGTAAATGCTCCCTTAGGCCTCCCCAGAAGCCAAGTAGACGGTGGAGCCATGCTTGCACAGCCTGCAGAACCGTGAGCCAATTAAATCTGTTTTCTTTATAAATTACCCAGCAAAGCAGGCATTTCTTTAGAGCAATGCAAGAATGTCCTAACACACCAAGCAAAACATAAAGATGGATGTTAATGTGCCCTGGTGCAATGGCATCACCAAACACAGATAAGACAGCACAAAATAATTCTTCTTGATGGGACTGCTCATTCATGACTCTGTCATCTTCTCCACTTACCAGATTTAAGAGAAATAACCAGCACTATCCAATATTAACTAAAAGATAGATGCCATTCTTTCCCTCAAGCACCTCATATTTTAGTGAGAAAGCTATGAAAGAGGAAGGTGAAAAGTCCTATGAAGAAATAGAACTTCCTATGAAGACATATAACCAGGGATCTAACCTAATTTGGAGTGTAAAGAGAAGCTTCTTTAAGGAAGTAATCTTTCAGCTGCCACCTGAAGGAGATGTAGAAATTAGCTAAGTGAAAGCAGTGTGAGCGGGTTAAAATGAAGTGTCCAAGTCAGAAGGAACATGAAATGCCGTAATCCTGATGTTTACAGCAGGAAAAGATACAGACAGCACATGTAAGGAACTAAAAGGTGGTTGATGTGTTCGGGATACAAAAAGGAAGAAGAAGAGAGAGAATGGGCACATCTTTCCAGAAGTTTGTGAAATCGAATAAAATTTGCATAGCTATGGGAGATACTATTCTATGATGGCATTGACTTGAGTACATTAAAATGCTGATGGAAATGAGGTGGTAAAAAGAGATATATTAAAGAGATAAGAACAAAAAGGAATTGAGAGTAAAAATTTCCTACAAAGGAGGTAAGGGTGGAATTTAGAGAATGTGTGAAAAGTTTGATGTTTAGAGAGGCAGAGGAATGCCTTCAGTTTAATAGGATGGAGAAAGAAATGAAGAGGTTCAGAAAGGTTTTAAACATTTTTTGGCAAAGTATTGAGGTAATTCCTTGTTGATGACTTCCAGTTTCTCTGGAAAGTGAGGATTAAATTATCTGAGTAGACTAGGAGGAAAATCAGGTATCTGTGAAGAGTAAAATTCAAAAGTCATTAGGAAAGTTGGCATGCAAGCTAACTGGAGAAATTTAGGTCTGCTGAGTAGTGTTAAGGGCCCAGAAGAGATTGAGAACTATGAATTTATAACATTAAAATAAGATTATGAAAAAATTCAACATCACTGATCATTAGAGAAATGCAAATCAAAACCACAATGAGATATCACCTCACACCAGTCAGAATGACTAATATTACAAACTCAAAAAATAACAGATGTTGGCGAGGTTGTGGAGAAAAAGGAACACTCATACACTGTTGGTGGGAGTGTAAATTAGTTCCATTATTGTGGAAGAGAGTGTGGCAATTCCTCAAAGACCTAAAAACAGAAATACCTTTCAACCCAGCAATCGCATTACTGGGTATGTACCCAAAAGAATATAAATCTTTCTATCATAAAGACACATGCACTTGCACGTTCACTGCAGCACTATTCACCATAACAAAGACATGGGATCAACATAAATGCCTGTCATTGGTAGA
This sequence comes from Homo sapiens, assembly GCF_000001405.40. Lineage (NCBI taxonomy): Eukaryota > Metazoa > Chordata > Mammalia > Primates > Hominidae > Homo > Homo sapiens. The sequence goes on from NC_000012.12 coordinate 99,423,605, forward strand.
CTGGATTTAAAAAGTGTGGTACATATACACCATGGAATATTATGCAACAGAAAAAAAAAGGAATGAGATCATGTCCTTTGCAGGAACATGGATGGAGCTGGAGGTCATTATCCTTAGCAAACTAATGCAGGAACAGAAAACCAAACACCACATGTTCTCACTTATAAGTGGGAGCTAAATGGTGAGAACATGTGAACACATAGAAGAGAATAACACACACTGGGACCTATTGGAGGGTGGAGGGTGGGAGGAGGGAGAGGATCAGGAAAAATAGCTAATGGGTACTAGGCTTAACCTGGGTGATGAAATAATCTGTATAACCCCCCCACCCCGACACAAGTTTACCTATATAACAAACCTGCACATGTACCTCTGAACTTGAGGGTTAAATTTTTTAAAAAGATTATGAATTGATTAACTTCTCGACTTAGGCTTTTTTCTATTTTACCTGAAAATAAATGAAACAATTTATTAGTCTCTCACTATTTACTCTTGCACATATACATATATATCCATATATAAATGAGTTAATGCTTTTGCATTTATTTCAGTGTAATATAATAAGTAGGGAAATACGATGTGTGATTATTATATAGTTATTATGGATTATGTACTTTATCAATATAAAAATCCTATTTATTCCTATGCTTTTTATCTCAGTGGAGTCCAAGGATTAGGCCATGAAGGATTGAAAGATTCAGAGCAATGTTCCAGGCAGAAGCGTATGTTTTGAAAGAGCATGCTGCTTTTGAGGAAGTAAAATAAATCTAGGTTTGGAATATAGACTAGAAGAGATCAAGAAGTAAGAATTAACTCCAGAAATAAACAGAAACCTGGTCATACAGTTTGATGGCTTTAAGTTGACCAAGCAATGGTGGTCAAACCTGTGCTTAGCTAGGCTTAAAAGCTATGAAGTAAATAGACAGGTTTGAAAAAAATAGACTATCACTTTGAGAAACAATCTGGATTTTATGTGTACTATTTTATTTAATTTTTTCCTCCTGTACAGGTAGCAGAAACACACACACACACACACACACACATACACACACACACCCATAAGGAAAATTTTAACTTGTCTATCTATCTATCTGTCATCTATCTGTCTGTCTGTCTGTCTGTCTAGTTAAAGCAAACTAAATATGGCCTGAGAAGGACTCCATACTTCCATATTTGAATCCTTGTGGATGAACCATAACCTAGCTTAACAGGCAGACAAGATGAAAACCTAACTTAGGAGTATGTGCCTGTAACAATAGCTGAGTCTTGGCCAATCACAGCAGCCATACCTCAACCACTCATAGACTGCTAAGTGTTCAAACAGGGTTCAATTAAGGCAAAAGCCAACCTGTAACCAGCCGTTTCTGAACCTCACTTCTAAGTTCTTTTCTGTACCTCACTTTCCTTTTTATGTCTATAAATTAGTTCTGACCACGAGGCACCCCTGGAGTCTCTGAATCTGCTGTGATTCTGGGGGCTGCCCGGTTCACAAGTCATTCATTGCTCAATTAAATTCCTTTCAATTTAATTCGGCTAAAGTTTTTCTTTTAACAATATATAAACACACACCCACAGTTGTACATATTACAAATTTGCAAATAATCTGTGTATATTTATATTCAGTTTATTTTGTAGTTAACAGTTAACATTTTTATAGTTACCATATAATTAAGTTATTCATATGATTAAATTAGCTTTCAAATAATTTTTAATATTTTTAATATTCTATCTTCCATTCAAACAAAAATTTTTATTCTAATTCTTTTCTGTTATAAATAGTAGTACAATGAATTATTTTACAGAATTGTTTCCTCTTTCTGGGCATTTCATTGGTACAGACAAGAAAGTACTAGACGAAAAGTAGTATGTTTTTCAAGATTCTTGATTCACATTACCAAGAAAATGTATAGAAACATTTCCACCATTGTTCTACAAGACTATCAGTCTGTGCCTGCATCACCATGAATTTACCATGCATTTGCTAAGCACAGGATATATTTTTGTTTTTAAAAAGTTTTAACTACTTCTTAGGTTATGTTATAACTTTATTGTGCATTTCCTTGATATTCAGCGCCATTAATCATTTTTCCTTTTATTTATTATTATTCTTTTTCTTTCTTAAATTGGGTATTTATATTGTTTGTCCATTTTCCTCTGTGGATGTGTTAGTCTTCTTTGTGGCCTTCTAAGAGCTCTTTGCATATTAAAATTTTAACAGTTTCACTGTTTATATTTATCTCTATAGCATTAGTTACTTGTTTTCTATTTTAATAAAGTTTTTTTGATGCAAGGCAACTTAATTTCTATGAAGTCAAGGCTATTTATCTTTTCCTTTGGTATTACTTTCACAACTTTTGTGTTAAGTAAATGTTTGTATCTGTAAGATTATGTTCGAAATATTGACAGTGTGTGTCTCTATCTTTTCATACATTTTGTTAGTTAATAGAGAAATGACTGCTGAGCTAATCATTTGTAACTGTTGTGACAGAAGAAAGTGAAGTGTAAAGATGAGAAGATAAGAAAATGTGTCTCTCAGAGTTGTTATTAATCACCGTCAATATTTCATTAGAGTGCATTGCCTAATGTCTGTTTATGTAATTTAACTTTTTTGAAATAGTCTTTTTCCTCACATATTTTGACTAACTTAATGACCCACTTAATTTATTATTTCATGTATAATTGCAATTATTATGTAGATATCCGTTTGTGTTGATATCTCTGTTTTTTTAAATGGAAATTAATAGAAGATATAAAATACTTTTGGATCTTTCTGATATTCAAAAAATATTTTTGAGAAAAATTATCTTAAATAGTAATATGATTTGGTACTTGACTCAATTCAATTTAGCATTTATTGCTTGCTGTCTCATACAACTGTTCTAAGAATTCATGTCAAATTATATCAGTTATTCCTGTGTCCATTTAGCATATATTTATTGTCAAGTTCTTGGCTAAAGCAAGAATCCAAGAAGAGAAATTTCACAGACTAGTAAGAGATTATTTGCAATTTCTGCTTTTTAAATAGTAATGTAATTAATATACTTTCCAGAAAATTTTTCCATCTTCTTTGATGCATAAGTAGACTCTTAAAATACACATATAAAATTATGTGAAAGTACACATAATTCTAAGAAAGCATAGCAGAAGGGCTAGAGACCCTTATATTTAACTATCTACATTATATCTAGAGGGTATCTAAAACTTATACAAACCAAACAGACATTTGATCCTTGCTCCCCAGTTCCAGCAACATCAAAACAAACACAATGAAAATCACTGATTTTTGCCTAGATCTCACCATTTCAGTAAATGGCATCGTGATTTTTCACAGTGACTCAAGCCATAAATCTGGACATGCTTGATTCGTAACCTGTATCTCCTAAATTCAACTCTATGGTAAATATTATTCATTCTACTTTGAAAACATGTTCTAAAACCACTCATTTCCCTATACTTCGGATTTACCCACCAATCCAAATAACTGTACATGTTCTCTTGGACAGCTACAAAACGTCCTAATTGTTTCCCCTATTTTTCCCTCCATAAGGTATTCTCTAGCCAGAGTGATCTTTTAAAAATGTAGATCAAATCACATCACATTCTTGCTTAACACCCTTCAGTGGCTTCTAATTGCACTTGGAGTAAAATCTACACTTCTTACCATGACCTCATTGGCTCTCTGTCTTCTCTGGTTTCATCTCACAGCACTTTGCCCTCACACTGAGCTCCAGTCATGCATGCCTTCTGTCTGTTCCTCTGCTCCAAGTTCATGTCTTCATCTGGGTCTTTGTATTGCTATTTCATTTCCCTGCCTGGAACATTCTTCCTCTGACTCTTTTCATGGCTAACTGTTTCTCCTCATTCATGTTCCAGCTCGAATACCACCTCTTCAGAGAGGCCTTCTCTGATTCCAAGTAGTGACTCCTCCTCCAAATACTGTTTGACTCTGTGTAGTTAATTTACAGCCCTGATCACAATCTGAAGTTATATTCTCTATTTATTGTTCACTTGATCATTGAATATTTACCTCCTCTTGAATAGAGGCTCCTTGAGGACAGTGAACTCTTTTGTCTTGCTCACTGTTATTACCTGTACTATGATGAAGCCTGGTAAATAGAGCACACTTAGCAAATATGAGTAAAACGGATGAATGAATAAGGGCATCTCAGTGAAGATGGGGTGAGAAAGGGTTATGCTAGCTGGTGCTTGGATCCTACCTAAAAGAAAGAACAGAAGTTAACCAGGTAGAGAAAAAGAGGGAAATGCATTCTAGACTGTATCGGAAAGGGTGCAAGAACAAGTCTCCTTTGGAGAGTTGCAGGAATTTGGGATGATTGCATGTTGGCATTGCTGGTGATAAACAGGAGCCCAGTGCAAGAACATTTATGGACTTTTATGCCTTATCGAGTAAGAAGTTTAGAGGTTGTCATGAAGGTAGGAAATCCTAAAGGATGTTATAAAAGTGAATAACATAATCATGTTGACAATGTAATAAGATCACTCTCCTCACATGGGAAGGAGTCTGGCATTGGGTGAGTAGGGTATCCTTGTAGGGTATCCTCCTACTGGCAGTGTGAGGAGGTGTCCACATGTGGAGGGCAGCCAGGGTAGAGTCAAGGCACTGTAAAGGTGAGAAGGGTATCCATCAGGGGCCAACCAGGCATGAGGAATCAGAGCATACACAAAGTAAGGAGCAGGGTGGATGTGTGTGTGCCATGCCCTGAGCAGGAGGTGTCCATGTGGAGCTTTACTGGCATGCGGTATCAGAGCCCAAGTGGGATGAGGCCAGTGTCCACATTTGGAGATGACCCTAAATGAGAATCAGGACCTGATATAATAACAAAATACACTATGAATAAAGGAAGCTAGGTTTCTGACTGTCAGAGAATAGAACTACAAATATAAAAATGAATTATGTGTTGTTTAGATCGAAATCACATTACTTCTGTAAACTCATGGCTTTCAATATATGTTGAGATGGATGGACACAGAAATATAGATGTTCCTGTGCATGTGTATATTTGTGTATACATACCCAGACCCACGTGCATACGTATATGTACGTACTATGCTTATATACAAATATTCTCTAGCCCTGCCCACTGAGAGAGTCTGAGAACAGTGACATCCCAGTAGCAATTAATATACGTAGTGCCTAAATCTTGGCATTAAACTACCATTTTATACTAAGAGGAAGTAAAGCTTCTTAGAGAAATAGCTGATTCCACATCTAGGACTGGAAAATCATATATGAGATAAGCCTAGAAATCCCGATGTTCCAGAAAGTAAGGAATGCTCAAAGAGTGATGGAGATAAGTCAAAAGGACACAGGAGGACTCCCTTTGGCAAAACTCTAAATAATTCAAATATCAAAACCAATAATAATAATAATGGAGTATAACTAACTCAATAAAATAGGAAACATGGGTCTCTGCAAGTATAAACAAATACACAAGTAAATTGAACGTTTTGTGAGGAATGGGATATTCACATAGTTTTAAAGTACCTCCCCACAAATGTATACACATTTCAGAAGAGAAACAAACAAACAAACAAACAAACAAACGAAGAGAAAGAGTAACCTTACAATGGAGAAGTCTGAAAGAAACCACCTTAATCAAGTGACCAAGGTGAACATCATTTGAAAAATCATTATCACAAATCAAAATCATGCACCAGCTGATAGGATGCAATAAGAAAAACAGAGTCATCTCTGGGTTTTTCTGACAAAGATACATACCCTGAATCTAATTATAAGGAAATATCAGACAATCCAAATTGAGGAACATTACACAAAATAGCTGACCTGTTATATTCAAATTTGTGATTGCTTTTAAAGTCAAGAAAAGACTGAAGAATTATTCCAGATCAAATGAGATTGAACAGGAATGAAAACTAGAAGAATGTATGATTCTAAACTAGATACTTTTACCATAAAACATATTATTAGGACAATTGGTGAAGTTTGAATGGAGTCTTAAGGTTAAATGGTAGTAATATATCACAATTCATTATCTGATTTTGATGTTTGTGTTCTGGTTATAGATAAATATCCTTGTTTGTAAGAAATAACATGGGGCCGGGCGCGGTGGCTCACGCCTGTAATCCCAGCACTCTGGGAGGCCAAGGCGGGTGGATCACGAGGTCAGGAGATTGAGACCATCCTGGCTAACACGGTGAAACCCTGTCTCTACTAAAAAATACAAAAAATTAGCCGGGCGTGGTGGCAGGCGCCTGTGGTCCCAGCTACTCGGGCAGCTGAGGCAGGAGAATGACGTGAACCCGGGAGGCGAAGCTTGCAGTGAGCCAAGATCGTGTCACTGCACTCCAGCCTGGGCGACAGAGCAAGACTCCGTCTCAAAAAAAATAAAAAATAAAAATAAAAAATAACACACCAGTGCTAATGAGGCATTAGAACAGCAACTTACTCACAAATAGTTCCAGGAAAAAAAAAAAAAGATCTTTAGAAAAAAAAGATCTTTGCATTGTGTTTCCAACTTCTCTGCAATTTTGTGATTGTTTCAAAATATAAAATAATAATCATTTTAAAATCCATGAAGATCACTCTGTGATAAATATAGAAGATAAATTAGAAGTAGAAGAGATGACATCAAGGAAGCCATGATGGGAGCTATTTCAGTAATCAAGTCAAAAGAATTAAGACAGGTACAGTGGGAGTAGAAGAGAAAAGCTTAGAAAGATAGGAAACAGAAGTGACATGCTTTGGTGGCTAATTTGATACAGAAAGAGAAGTAGAGGAGGAGTCTAGGTGGTACAGTTAATTGATATAAGGAAGGAAGAGCAGATTTTTGGAGAAAGATGAAGATTTTGATGTCTGGCAAGTAAGTGTAGTGAGTCTTATCTTCCAAACACTGTACGTTACTTGACCAAATGAAATACAAGTTATTGGCTTATTGTTAGGATGAACTTCTATTCTCTGGCTTCATGTTTCCACAAGAAGGGAATACCATTAGAGTAACATCCTCCACCTATTCTCCGACTCCTTATTAATTTATCCCCTAAGGAATTAGAGTTACTGAGCTGTAAAACGACATTGGGGAAGGAACTAAGCATGCTTATTATTGCCTCTTCCATGTTTCTCCTCTTCAGAGACATAATAAATATGTTCTCTGCTCTTCTGTAGTAAAATCACCTTGTAGGTTGGCTAGCTGTGCCAGTGACTGGGTTAGGATGTGTGTCTAATCCAAGAGTGAAGTTACAGCAAGCATATTCAGTAACATATCTAGAATCACATTGTCCAATCAGTTCTCATGATGATAATAAAAAGTATGGCATTTGGTTTCAATTTGTCTAACTCTTGGATTCCATACCTCAGTTGGTTCTGAATCTGGGAGAGAAAGCAAGCAGTGTGGTTAATTTGTTTCCTAAATTCAAAACAATTATAAAACTCTGTTTATTCCTCCCAGTGTCTAATATAGTGCTTAATACTCACTTATTGAATTGAGTTCAATTAATGTAAAATAAAATGATGCTAAAATAATACTGTCTTAAAGGCGAAAATATAGGTCCTTCTAATTATTTGTTTTTCCATTTTAGGCATTTAGCACCATTGATTTAAAACTTGTTCTTCAACATGACATAATCTAAAGATACTTATTTTTCCTTTCCTCACAGATAAAACAGAAATCATAATGGTCTTATCCATCTCACGTGGTTTCTCAAAGGATTAAAGTAGACAGTGTGTAGATACCACTCTGTAACATCATAAATAAATGGCATATTTATTGCTGAGTTTGGGTGTTCCCTTTCTCAACAGTGTGAATTTGTGCAAGATGAGTGGAAAATCAAACCAGAATGGAATTGTTAGGGTCAGCTATAAAGAGGCCTATGAAATGCCCTAGATCATGTTTTTCAAATTAAGTTTTGTGCATCACTAGTTGTGAAATATATTAATGGGTTTACATGGGTGGTAGCGAAAGAAGGCTCTGAAAAATCATTCAGTGAAGAAATTATTTAACCCTGTATTTCCCCAATATATTTGACAATGGAAACTTTTTATATAAGAACATCACTTACAGAATGAGTAATCCATAGATATTAGGACATTCTGACTAAGAGGAAGGTGGCAGAATATCTGGTTGGGACTTCCTAATTATTAGAATGCCCTAAGTAAATCAGCACAGCACTTAAGTAAAAAGATTCTAAATCCCTTGCTTATCCTATTCTTCTCCCTGGACTATGTATCTGCCTGCTACGATATGGATATGGCTTAGTTTGTCCCCACCAAAATTCAGATTGAAATTTGATTCCCAATGTGGCCGTGTTGGCAGGTGGGGCCTAGTAGAGGGTATTTGGGTCAAGAGGACAGATCTCTCATGAATGGCTTGGTTCTGTTCTAGCAATACTGACAGTTCCAAGTCTGCCAAGACTGGATTAATTCTCATGGGTATGGAGTAATTCCCATAAGAGGTATTTGTTATAAAGCCAGACACCACTGGAGTTTTGCCTCTTCACATGTTTTCACTTTCCCTTTGACCTTCTGCCATGTTGTGATGTATCACCAGCAGCTGGGCAGATGTCAACACGATGCTTCTTGTACTTCCCAGCCTGCAGAAGTGTGAGTTAAATAAGCCTCTTTTCTTAGTTCATTTTATGTTCCATATAATGGAACTCCCAACCTCAGGTGTTCCATTATAGCGACACAAAGTGAACTAAGACTTCACCTATCTAATGCCTATTCAAACATAAAGGTCACTTTGAGCATTTCCTCTCTGGAATAGTCTTCACTGCCCTTTCCCCAACTATTCTTAATTAATTCAGGTGGTACTTATTGACAGCCAGTTGTGAACCAGGTACTGTTCTCAGTGCCGAAATTGAGCACTTTATAAAACAAGGAAGGAAGGAGGGAGGAAAAGAGAGGGATGGAAGGAAGGAAGGTAGAAAGAAATAAAGGAAAGAAGTTCTTATTCTCATGGCATATCCATTCCAGGTGGGAAGAAAGACACTGAACAAATCAACGCATAATGTTAGTTCGGGAGTGAAAATTGTTATAAAGGAAAATAGCATAACAGAGACAGAGAATAAAGTGGTAGCTACTTTATATTCAATGGTCAAAAAGGGCATCTCTCATAAGGTAGTATTTGAATAATGACCTGAAGGAAGGATGATAATTAGCAGTGTTAAGTCTCTGGGAGAAGGGCTTTCCAGACAATTCAATGATAAGTACAAAGAACCTAAGGCAGGAGCTGTTTGGCTAATCTAAGGTACTGTTGGGAAGATGACATGGCTAGTGTAAATTAAACAACGTGGAGAACGGTAGGAGATGGGTTAAGAGGTTTTAGAGAGTCAGATTATATTGGATGTCATGCTTCTTTACTTTCAGTGAGATGGGAAGACATTGGAAGGTTGAGCAGGTGAATAACGTGATCTGATTTATATATGTGGCCAAGTTACAAAAGGACAAGAGCACAATAATCAATGCCAGTAACAAGATATGAAGCTTTTTCAAAGGTCTAGGCCAGAGATGTTAGTGGCTCATACAATAGTGACAGATGACAGATGGTAAGATTCAAGATATATTTTTAAAGAAAAGTTAGAGGACTGATTTTTGAACTTTTTGGTCTCAAGATCCCTTGATGCCCTTAAAAATTAATAACACTGAAGATTTTTTGTTCATGAGAGTCATATCTGTTAATATTTATATAAAAACTAAAAATAAAAATTCTTTAAGCATAATACACAAGTGCGCATTCCATTAGCCATCAGAGGTATGATGATGTCATCACTTACCATATAGCTTCTGGAAATCTCCATTTAGAACTCATGTACAAATAAAAGCAGAACAAGGCAAAATGTCTTTGTATTATTATGGAAATATTTTTGACCTCACAGACCTTTGAAAAGGTTTTGAAGCCTGCTAAGAGGTCCTGAACCACACATTGAGAACTGCTGGCCTAGAGGATTTTTTTGATGGAATGGATCTGAGGTGTGAGAGAAAGAAAGAAATCAAGGATGGGGTCAAGTTTTTAAGCCTGAGCTGCTATTAACTGAAATGCAAACTGCAGTGCTATATAAGTTAAGTTTAAGACATCCCATTGAGATTTAGGGTAGCCTGCTGGACATGAGCCTGGAGTTCAGGGAAGTGGGCAGGCCTGGAGATACAAATTTAGGAATAATCAGCACATAAACAGCATTGAAAGCTCTGGAACTGGATGAGAACACATGGGGAGTGAAAGTAGACTGAGAATAGGTCTGAGGATGATCCTTGGGGCATTGGATCAATGAACTCCATCAGTGAAATTCCAAAAGTTCTCTATTTAGAGCACAGTCTCCTTTGGTTGGTTAAAAGTTATTTTAGGATAGAATCCATATTTTAGTCATTTTCATACTCAAATCACCGCTTAAGATGCCCAGCATATGGTAGGCACTCAACTGTGTTTATTGAATAAATAAATAAATTAATTAATGATGTCCTTTGTGGTACTTTCACAGCTAAATTCCAGAATTTTAGAACAGGCAAGATTAGGAAGTTGGAATGATCAGGTTCAGATTCATACAGTAGGTATACTATTCATTGTATAGTCAAACAGATTTCCTTGAACTTAGAGGAAGATGTAATTGACTGCACCCTGTGCTGTCAATAATAAGTGACCTAAAGGGAAGGATAGACTATATTTCAAATTCTAGTCTGCCATTTAAGATATTTAAAGCAATAATGCCAACTCTACTTTCTGATCATTTTATTTTGCAAGGAAATTTTTTCCCAGAATATTTTTTCTTTCTATGCATTCTTTTATTTAATTACACAATAAATTTAACCAGCTTTACAGACCAATACATATATATCTACAAAGGATGTATTTCATTTTTGATGAACATACTATGGCTTATTTAACAAGTTATCCTTACTAATAGGCATTAAGGTTTCCAATAAATATTTCAATAATGAACATCCTTGAACATATTTTTATTTATTTATTACCATTTTAATAACCACATTTATTTTCATTATTCTTATAGCACATCTATTCTTAGCCACTCATGTGATTTGAAAATACTTTTATATTAAATGTCTATTTAATCAATATTTCCTCATCTTTATAATGATTCATTTGCATCTCTTCCAAAACTTCAAGTTAATGTCTAAACTCAATTTTCTTTTGTTTCTCTTCTTCTATTTTTATTTTAGGTGCCAGGGGTACATGTGCATCTATGCTTTCTCATTCAGGCTGTCTAGACATGCTCTAGGGGAAAAAGCTGAGCCAAACAATGACACCCACTGAGAATTTTATGCATGTGGGAGAAAAACCCCTGAATAACACAAAAGGAAAACACAATATTAATACAGTCTTGCTATTACTGGCAATGTGGGCACAAAGTATAAAAAATTACATTTCATGTTTAGGAAAAAAGATGAAAAAATTTTTTTACTTGTAGAAAGTGCCAAATAACAAAAATTCTCCATATTCCTGTAGGATAAACTCACCTGGAATTTCATCAAATGAATAGAAATGAGGATGAATAATATTCCACTGGCATATAATTGGCATGACCACTATATGGATTGAAGGTGATTTTAATCATCAATGGAAGATACAATGTACAGTGGTTGTTTTCTGGATTCCGGCTTTTCCCTCCCCTGTATTAGGTCAGCCTGACCCTGTACTGTGCCATTTATCCTCACTGACTCCTCCCATATCCCAAATTCCAGGAGTTTATACTTCCTGTGGCTCACTTAAGCAGAGGCATCTAAAGAATGAGATGCTTGAAGGTGAGTATCACCCCATATGTAGCCAACATCTTCTTAAGTAGGTTCCAATGATTTAGGGAACTTTAAAAGGTTCCCAAATACATTTTCTAAAATCCACAGTTGCCATGATCAGAGCTACTTGGGGATGACACAGAGAGTTAGAACATTACTTCTCAGAGGTCTTATTTCAATTGTAGGCAAACATGATCTAATCACCATTATAATAACAAGTTGGGCCACTACAGGGCTTTACAATGTACACAGCACCATGGCACCTTTTATCTGGTTTGAGTCTGACTACACCCCTGAGAAGCAGGCAAGGCAAATACCATTCTCACTTTGCTGAAAAACTGAGGGTGAGAAGGGTAATACAGAGTGCATGTGACAGAAGAAAGGTTGGAACTAAATTCCTTTTAAAGAGGCACCTACAAGCAAAATTTTGCACATAATTCCAGGAATTGTGTAGACCACCCATAGCCTATCCAAGAACACCAGGTTAAAAATATTTGCCCTCAGACAGACTGATTTAATTGGTCAGGGGTGGAACTCAGGTATTTTTTTAAAAAGCTTCCCAGGAAATTCATATTTGTCCAAAACTACTTCAAAAATTCATATTTGTCAACGTTGACTGTTGGGTCCTGTTGCCTTCTTTCTCATTTTTTTTCCTTTCCAAATCGCTCTTTGTTTTACTTAATATTATTTTCTATTACGTCTATCTTTCTGTTTTTAGCCTTCTCTTCTCACTCAGCTTTTGTTGCAAGTCTGGAAATTACTGAATACAGTCTTCTTTGGCTCTTTCCTTCAGACTACATACTACTGCCATCTATGTTTCTGTTCTTCCTCCTTTTTCAAAACTATTATTCTCTCCTGAAGCTTCACCCTTCTAGAATATCAGTATTCCACCTCGATTATTTTCTACCTAATGAGCTAATTAGCATTAATGGAAAAACTACTGAAGTTAGGAAATCAGAGATCTTCCAGTAAGTCAGTGGCCTCAGGCCCAATCAGTAAAATAAGGAAAAATATACCTACCTGATAGAATTTTTGTGAGAAACAAATGAAACACATACTCAATCATGGGAATAAAATACTCAATACTCAATAATAAAAATATTTTTAAAGACTATCTCCTTGAAGTTCTTTTTATTCCTTATCTATTTTTTGCTGCAACCCAATACAATATTCTGTACTCTTTCCAAGTTATATGCCTCTGTTTTTTACATACCCACTCTCATTTCTAATTTTAAAATTTAGCATATGTATTCTATAACCCCACAGTGCCCAGAAAAATGTTATTCTGGATTTGGCAAGAATTTTTTGTAACCCCAGTTCTAAACTGTTAATAATGGCAGGGAGAGGTGCTATGGCTTATTATTAAACTGCTTTATTGTTAGCTCATTAATCATACACAGGTCCAGAAGAATATTCAAAATGTTTCTTTCAGGTTGAGTAGGTACCTGATCTAAACATGGTCCATTATGAGTAGGTGTTCAGAAATGACTCATCTTTCCTCCAATCATCTCCTTTAGTGTCTTGAGAGCTCTGAGCCTTTGACCTTTCTCCTTATTTTCTTTACCTCTACAGCCTCTTTGCTTCTTTTTGCTATGGTCCCTCCTTAGCTGCAAAAGAATGCAGCCTGGTGTTATTTCATTCTATTGAATTCCATTTAGGATGAGGTTTTGGGTTAGTGGTGAGGTTTGGATGGTACTAGGAACATCTAAAGCCAATTGGAATGTCTTTTCCGGCTGCTATTAACAAATACCAAAAAGTTATGGGGTCTCTCCCAGTTCTGGAGGTTGAGAAGTCCAAGATCAGGTTTCCACCTTGGTTGGGTTCTGGTGAAGGTCCTCTTTCAGATTGCAGATTGCCGAGTTCTTGCTGTGTCCTCATGTGTTGCAAGGGTGAACAAGTTCCCATGGGCCTCTTTTATAAGTGAACTAATCCCATTCATGAGAGCTCTGCCATCTGACCTAATCCTCTCCTAAAGGCCCCACTTTTTAATACTATTACATTGGGGATTTGAATTCAACATAGAAATTTGGGGAAAACACAAATATTCAGATGATAGTACAGAATTTCAAATTTTCCAGATTGACTTCTTAGGATATTCTTATGCTCATTATGCTAAAAATCTCTGTTCAATATTGAGCCCATTTAGATGACTTGTCTGTGGTATTGTGCCAAAATAGCCTCTTTTTCTGCCCGTGGTCACTTCTCAAGAGCCCCCTTCTATTTTAGACTTGATTTCTATCATGAAACAGGGAAAGGAGTGTAAAAACCCATCTAGCTAAAACCACCACCCAGAGCACAGACCAGGAATCCAGTGCTCTGTCAACTGCTAATGTTAGTTTGTTTGAACTTTGGAATTAATTAGATGTATACACACCTCCTAACAAAATATTTAACAATTGAGTCCCTATCATTCATGTCTCTTCAGTCAACTTTTAGGCTCTTCTTTCTCATTCTCTGCAACCAGAAACTGTTTCCCCACCTCTGCTCATCCTTTAACATGCTGTCATACTGCCTTATTTCCTTTTACCATCAAACTACTAAAAAGATTAGTCTACAATCAGGGTATCTTTTCCCACTCTTCAATTCCTTTCATCTTAAGCTTCTACATTCTTCACCTGAAGGAAATTGCATTCTTGAAGGTCTCTGCCCTCATAATTGCCAAATAAAGTGACATTTTGGTCTCTCTTCTCCTCTATCTTCCTGGAAGTTTTGACAATGTTGACTAATCACTTTAAAATTTTTTTTCTTTATATCCACAGTAAGAGTTGTCTTTCTTCTTTTATTTTTCTCAATGATTCTCTCTCTCTTTTTTGCTAAAGACTTCTTTCTAAAGTACATGTGAGGAAATCACTTAAGTTCCTGGTTCTCAACTTCCTCACCTATAAAATGAAAATATCCATTCCAAAAAGAATCATGAACATTAAATTATATTAGGTACTCCAAAAATATAATTATCCTCCTTTAGTGTAAACATTTATCAGAATTCTGTCTTTGGTACTATCTCTCTTCATCATTGAATTTTACGAATGAGAATAAAATCTTTACCTTAAGCCCTCAACTCTCTCCAGAACCCCATACCAATATTTCCAATTTGTATATCATGCTTCATGTTCAGTAAATCTACAAAACCAAACTTATCATGTCATCTTCTCCCTCATCAAAATAAACATCTGTTCAATTCTTTCCTATCCTTATTAGTAGCATTCCAAAGTCCCAATCAACAAGGCTCAAATCATTAGTCATCTTTGGCTCCCTTAGACCTAATCCATCTATCTACTGCTAATTCTTTATCCAAAGTGTCTCTTGCACCAAAGACTACATAAAATGTATAAAACATTATAGCCAAGTGTTACTTATATTAGCATCCAAAGTAAAACAATGTAATCTGCCATATCAACAGAACCAAGAGTACACGCAATAAACTGATAGCCTACATTGTAGTTAATGTTGAAACACTGTAACATTGTCTGCTTTCCCCAAAGATAGGGAACAAGGCAATAATTCTTGGTTTTACCACTTCATTGCATCATTTTACTATAGTCACAGCAATAAGAAAAAGAAATAAAAGGCACAAATATTAGAAAAAAAAGTCAAACTATCATTATTATAAGATGACATAAAAGAATCCTATGGAAGTTATTTTTTAAAAAAGCAAACAAGTACTCTAGCATTTAAATAAAATTAAAATGGTAATATAAAACTCAACTGCATTTCTACATGCCAACAACAAACAATTAAAATATGAAAGCAATAAATAATACTAAATTATTAACTCAGTAAATAACAATTTTTTTCCTTGTAGCAAAAATTAAATCTTGACCCCCACCTCACACCATACACAAAGCAATCTGAGATGGATTATCGACCTAAATATAAAAACCAGAACGAGAAAACTTCTAGAAAAAAGTGGGAGCATATATTTACAACCTGGGACAAGTCACAAAAACACTAACCATAGAAGAATAAAATGATACATCTGACATAAAAATTAAAATATTCTGCTCATCAAAAGGCACTTGAGAAAATGTTTAGGCAAATCACAGAGTAGGAGAAAATATTTAGAGTGCATACACCTGAGAAAGGACCCATATCTTGTGGGGTTACAGAAGAATTTATAAAGAATTACTACAAATAAACAATCACAAAGCTGAACACCCCTAAAAAAAAGAGGTGAGCAGATACTTCACAAAAGAAGATCTAAGAATTGGCAATAACCACAGAAAAAGGTAGTCATGATCATTAGTCACCAGAAAAAATGCAAATTAAAACCATAATGAGAAATCATTTCACACCCAGAAGAATGGCTAAAATAAAAAAGTTTAAAAGGCGAGAATGTGGAGAAATGAAAATTCTCACACATTGCTACTGGTGACTATAAAATGGAACAACTTTTTTGGAAAGCTGTTGGGAAGCTTTTTATAAAGTTAGCTATTCATCTACCCTGTGATCCAACAATGCCATTCTTATTTATCTATATGAAAACATATGTTTATAAAAAACACTTACATGTGTATATTCATAGCATATTCACTCATAATGGTAAACAATGGGAAACAACGCAAGGATCAATCAACAGGAGAATTAATGAACAAATTGTAATATACCATAGTATATTAATCCAATGGTAAACCACTTACCATGAAAGAAACAACATGGATTAATTTCCAAACCATTATGTTGAGTGAAAGAAACCCAAACAGTGATACGCACACAGAAAACATACTCACCATAGGATTCCATTTATATAAAGTCCAAGAATAGCCAATCCTAATACATGATGATAAAAATCTGAACATTCTTGCCTCCAAGGCAGGAAGGAGGGCAACTAATTAGAAAGGGGCAAGAGGAAACTTTCTGGGGTGATGGCAATGTTCTATATTTTGTTTTGAGTGGTGTTATACCTATGTAAATAATTAAAGTTCATCAAGCTATATACTTAAGATCTGTGTATTTGATTCTTCAATTGTGAAAAACAAGATGTTTCACGAGGAACTATTTTAAAAACAAAGCCAACACAAGTAACATATAACTATTCAGTAAAAAGAAGATAACTAGAATGTCAATAGACCTACCTAATATATATTTCAAAGATTTTTTTTTCAAGTATTTAAGTACAAGTAAGTAGAAAAATTCAGGCTTGTGGGTTAATATACTGGAGAGAAACAAAGAGAAAAGAGTAATAACCATTTCAGTCACTCTGAATTTGAAATAGATTGCTTCACAATCTAGAGGATTTTAAGACGTGAAATAACTGAAAGAAACAAAGGTGAAAAAGATCAAACACAGGATGCAGAACTAACAGCTGTGACTTAGTTAATGCATATGCTGAATAAAAACAAACTCAACAAAGCACTGGGAAGCCGGCAGCTTCCAAGTAATTAACTAAGCAGAAACACATGCAATGTGTTATCAGCCCTATCTCATATTGAAAGCAAGGACTCCTTCGTTACAATGGATGCTCTCCATTTACAGGTAGAGTTACAAGAAAATAAACTACATAAAGGTATACAAGAGGCAAAGGAAAAGGAACCAATTTGCTACATCTAAGTAGTATCTATTTTCAGTGAATGAGATAAAAGTTCTGCCGTTACCTCACCTACTCAATATCAGTCTTCCCACAATAAAAGACTGAACACATCAGCTAATGGTCAAAGAATTGTAAATTCATGAATAAGGGTCACATTTACATTTTTATTTTCAAAGTTCAACACAAGTTTTAAAAGTGAAATTATCATTTCAATCATATTATTAATTTTTAATAAATAAATTTTTAGAACGGTCTTTAATACCCATAAATCAATCTAACTCCACACTTTCTGCATTTTCAGAGAGAAAACCAGAATTAACAAATATGTTAGAGTATTAAACCTGTGATTAAAATATAGGCTTTTATATAAGTTCATCAATAATTATCTTTTCTTTGGAACAGTAGCTCTCAACCATTTTCCATCCCTGACACACCTGTGATTTGTCAGAACACAGCAGGAGTCTCCTGTTCTATCCATCCATCCATCCTCTATGCACATCCTCTAGTCTTCAAATCCTTTCCTGAAACCTCATGTCCTACCTGAATACTCTCTCATAAGTATTTCCATGTGAATATACTACTCCCTTTCTACAATGAATGAGGAGCCCCCTGAAGGTCATAACTCATATGGAGAAATAAGTCATGCACCAATGTCTCCAGGGTGGAAGAAAGAGTAGCCTAATTGAAGTTATATTCTTTCTGCAATTATATATAGAGAAAGAAAATATATAGATATATAGCTGTTATTGTTCTATTACATAAATACAGGCTGCATTGGTTCTAATTTAAACACCATCATCCTGAGTTACTTAACTTTCTCACTTATTTGTTTTTCTCCTTAAAGCATTGTTATAACATTTAAGAAAGATGGAGTCAGTTACTAAGATAAACATTTAAGTAACGACAGCACCAAGAAATTGGGTCAAGATGGAATTTCTGGCTTTAATTCTACCTCTAGATTTCTTCAAAGATAACCAGGTGAACCTAAACTCAATTAGAATATGCAGAGAAGGATTTATGAAATAATGCCTCAGTTATTCAGATCATGGATCTATAGAAAAGAATCTGTTTTTCATTCATTGAATGACCAAGTGCATTTACATTAGAGAATCTACATTGGTATAAAAACAAATATATTTAATAATGAATTTTATTAACATATATAGGACAATGTCTTACTTAAATAGCTTTAAAATGCTGGAAATGCACTAGAAACACATTAACCCCAGAAACACCTTCATATGAGAGAACCAGTGTCAACGAAAATGACAGATAGCAACTAAATCTGGGTTTAGTGAGGTTTATCTTGAAGCAAATAGACCCCATCAAATTTCCTTGAAAAAGAGGACATTTTGTAATGAGATGAAGGTGTCACTATGTTACCCAGACTGGTCTAGAACTCCTGGGCTCAAGGTGATTCTCTGCCTCAGCCTCCCAAGTAGCTAGGATTACAACCGTGTGCCACTGTGCCTGGCAGAAGACGACATTTTTGAAAACATTTTTCTTCTCCACATATTGGGGCACTATGTCAAATGTTACCTGTGCCTAAATGCCCCTGAACCTGCATATTCCATACTCCTAAAGATGTGTCAAATTATACAACCTCATGAGGATATTTTTAACCTCTGAGCAGGACTGGAAGAGGCAAATATACTAAAGTAAAAAAAAAGAAACTCCAAATCAGTTGGACAATGTAGCCCCTTTGGAGTGCCAGTGATGTTATCTATAAACACTGAAACACAAATTGCACTTGAATTGATGAAGGATATAGGAAACAATTTATATTAAAGTGTTCTACAAACTGCAGTGGCTATCCAAAATTTAAGTGCCATTTTATCAATGAGGATGAAGATTATAATAAAAATGATCTAAAATAACTTATGTTAAACAAGGAAAAATATTAAACAAATCTTGCTTATTTAGACCTAAATAGTCTTAAAAGACACATTTTCCCTACAATTTGGCTCAAAGGATTTATTCATACTCTATATCTAAGTAGATGATGAATGGCATTGATTGAATCCAAAGTCCTCCTGTCTTGGATTTTATGAGGCCCATTCAGAACGAGCCAGGTTGAGAACACCACCAATTTCGTGTTCTGGGTCCATCTGTTGGCAAAAATATAATGCAAACAGCTTTATAAGTGCTATTTTCAATGAAATATCACAGAACAGCTTGTCCCAATGATATTTCTAAAGCTTGCCTGCAAACCGCCTACTGGAAAATCCAACTGAAAGAGAAGGGAGAAAAGAGAGAAATCCATAGAGGAAAGAGACAGGAATGGAAAAAAGAACAAAGGATAAAGAGAGACTAGCTAGAGGACTGGGAACACTGGAGGAAAACAAGGAGCAATATTAAACGCAGACAATATTCATTGAAACCATAAGAATAGAGAAGATAGAGAAATATAAAAATCACTTGGGTTGGAAGACAGAGAAATAATCACAAACCATGCAGCATTGTCCAGAAGAATGAAGACAAAAGGATCAGGAAACACCAGAAAATATGTAACAGCTCAATAATTGGAGCATAATTATTAAAATGTTGTGAGAGAAAAATGATGTAAAATAGCTATTTTTCTAAGTCTCACTGCTTCATGTAACAGGCACAATTCATTTTTCCAAAAACTAATGCAGATTTCAGTGTTTATCACCAACTTGAAAGGAAGCAAACATCCTCTTCTGAGTCCCCTCTTTTAATTTAGAAATCCATTGACATACCACATAAAACAGTCCAGGCATTGCAATATAAGTGATGTACATGCATTGATTCAAATCAAAACACATTAGAGGGAAAATGATGCCATTCTGGGCACTTACCTGGGGTCGAATGACTTTTACAATATTTTTGAGGGCAGTATCAGGGGATGGAGGTGAACAATCAGGTGTTGGGCCTGTTGAGCTGTTTCTATGGTTACTAGTTCCTGGAGTAGTAACTGCTACCTCAGAGGCATTATCTGTGAATAAAAATAGAACTGCCATGAACCTAATCACTCAGTTTACCTTTTAAGACTTGAAATTAATTTTCTGAACATAAATTGAGATTTCAACTTTTAAAACTGGTATCAATTACAAGATCATAATGAGGAATATGCTCAGTAGTATATTTTAAAGATAATGCTTTTTGAATGCTTTGTTTCCTTCTAAAATGGTAACTATCACCCCCTGGAATGTTGTTCTGAGACAAGTGTATTATTATTCAATTCATAATGATAGATTATCCAGCATAGCTCTTAAGACTGCTACTACTATATGAATAACTAAAACCTTACCTTAACTAAAAAGAATATAATTTTATGATATGATTGGGCTAAAGCTTTCCCAATAATCTCTTAAATGAGTATTAATATTTATTAAAGTGGGAGTTTTATATCTCCCTGATGCATAAAATCCAAATTCAAGCCTCCTCAAATGACTTTTCCTAGAAATCCCACAAACTATAGAAAAGCACCCTAGTGAATGAAGCTTGATGAAAAACTGAAATTTGTGCAAAATGGTTTTATGATGTAGATAAACACAAAATTATCACTCCTAGATAAGTATAGCAACCTATGTGGTCAAAGCTAAATGAATAAAATTTCAGAATCTAAATTAATCTTCTCTTATGTTCAGTATTTAGGAGGGGGGAATAAAGAAAAGATGACTTGAAAATCAACAACATGTGTAACATTTTTTTCTTAAATTCATATTAAAGCAAAATAACATCAAGGATGCCATTTTAGAATGTTTAAAATACTTGGGAAAGGATGAAAATTATTCTATAAATAACTTCTGGTAGCACATAGAAAAGTTATTTTAACAACAATTTGGCAAACTTCAATAGCTTTTTATGAAAACTGCTGCAAGCTCAAATCTGCCAAAAAAATAAAAAATAAAAAGTTTACTTCTCTGTTGTTTTTAATTAGTTCCCAATAATTTTCTTTCCTAGACAGTTAGCTGAACTGATTGCAAAAGAGACTGAGACTGAATTTTTTATAGACCAGGAAGTTTCTCTGTTCCTGATCGCTGTCTACAATCCCCAGTGAAATACAGGAATTCATCAAGGCATCTTTTCCTCATAAAACACAAAGGGATGAATTATCATAAAACTCTACCTACCATATAAAAATATAACTCAGTCTCACTGAGGAATCCAGACAAAGGCCCATAAAACAAAAAATTCAAGTATGACACATAGAATTACTTGGATGACTCATAAAATAAGTCTTAAAAGTGTCCAGAGCACACTCTTCTAAGATTTAACAGAAAAGGTGGGATTTGAATTGGCATCACAAAAGAGATGGGGTGGTCTTCTGAGTAGATTAGAAAACCATGAGTCAATACTGAAACACACAAAACATTAGTCAGCAAGATGCTCTGATTCTCTCCAACCTATCCCTTCCTTCTTTCATTCATCTAAAAACTACACATGTAAGAACACTTATTTGGGGCAACTATGAGTCAAATATTATGTTATGTTCTAAAGATTAACTAGGAAGAATCTCTGGCCAAGGACTGGAGGCAGGTAGGGATGAATAGGTTAAGCACTGAGGATTTTCAGGGCAGTAAAACTATTATATTTAACAGTATAATGGTGAGTATACATCATCATTATATATTTGTCCAACTCATGGAATGTATAAATCGAGAATGAACCTGTATAAACTATAAACTTTGGGTGATAATGATGTGTCCATGTAGTTTCATCAATTATAACAAAGGTATCATTTTGGAGCAGAATGTTGATAGTAGAGGAGGCTTTGTGTATGAGAATATATGAACTTTGTAATTTCTGCTCAATTTTGCTGTGAGTCTAAGAAGTTCTAAAAATAAAATCTATGAATTTTTTTTCAAAAGAATCCCTGCCCTCGAGAAGTATACTGTTGGGTTTTTTCCTTTTCTTTTTTGAGACAGGGTCTCACTACCATCACCCAGGCTGGAGTGCAGTAGCATGAACACAGCTCACTACAGCCTCAACTTCCCAGGCTCAAGTGATCCTCCCACCTTAGCATCCTGAGTATCTGGGACTACAGGTGCACATTACCACATCTGGCTAATTTTTTGTATTTTTAGTAGAAATGGGGTTTCGCCATATTGCTCAGGCTAGTCTTGAACTCCTGAGCTGTAGTGATCCACCCACCTCAACCTCCTAGAGTGCTAGGATTATAGCCATGAGCCACTGCACCCAGCCCAAAAGTATACTCTTAAATGTGTCATCAGACATGTAAACAAATTACAATGCAATATAACTTGAGAACTGATAACAGATAAAGGAAGCATGATAAAAAAAAAACAGGGTGGGGTGGGGGAGTAATCAGACTATGGCTTGGACAGAAGATAGCTGTGAAAGGCTTCAGTTTTCAGGCAAGAAAGCTGGAACAAAACATTAGATATTAGGGCATGAAGGTAGGAAGAGCACAGTTGAAGCTGTTATTTCATATACAAAAAAACTGGAGATAAGTTTGAATGAGTGAAAGGAAGTTTTATTAGAATATAAACATACTTAATTCTGTAGGCAATGAGAAATATTGAAGACTGAGCAGGGAGTGACATAATAATAGATAACTTTTATTGAGCATTTATTATGTGCAGACAAGCCATGTTAAATTATTTTACTTATTGAATCTCATTTAATACCCAAATTAACTTACAAAATACATTCCACTATCACCATCCCTATTTTACAGAGAAACTCATCTCAAAGTTATATTCTCAGTTACTGGCAGAAAAGGATTCAAATTTCAGACTGATGCCATGTTACCCTTCTGAGAGTTAGCATGTCATAGCAGGTATGCAAAAGATATGCATAGGTATGATTGGGTTCATAGAAACATAGCCTGAAGAAGATCGGCATAGTTGAGGTAGGAGCACACTCTACTTCAAAATATAGTTGAACCAACTTCCAGAAACTTAAAAAGTAGACATAGACACTATGAAAAATAAATAATAAAAACAACAAAAAAGTCAACCATAAAAACATCTTTAGGGTATGCCTTTGAGTACTATATAGTATAATATTTAATATTTGGAAGCTGGAAGATATGTTAAGACTAGAGACCCAAGCTAGAGGTCATGACGTTAGCATTTTGGAGTTGATAAGTGATTAGATTCTGGACATGTGTTGAAATGTCCAGAACTGTTGAAATAGACCAAGAATTTTTTTGATGGCTCCTGAATAGACAAAGCAACCTTGAACAAAAAGAAAAAACTGAGCACATTACACTACCTGACTTCAAAATATACTACAAAGCTATAATAATCAAAACAACTTGATGCTGGCATAGAAACAGACACATCAACCAATGGAAAAGAACAGAAATCCCAGAAATAAATACACATATTTTTGGTTAATTTATTTCAAAGGTGCCAACAACACACAATGGGGAAAGGGCAGCCTCTTCAATAATGGCATTGGGACACTGGATATTCACATGCAGAAGAATAAAATTAGACCTTCATCTCACACTATATACAAAAACTAACTCAAAATGGATTAAAGCTGGGTGCAATGGTACATGTCTGTACTTCCAGCTACTTGAGAAACTGAGGCAGGAAGTTTGCTTGAACCCAGGAGTTTAAGGCCAGTCTGGGAAACATAGGGAGACCACTCTCTAAAAAAACATTTTCTTAATTAATTAAAGACTTAAGTGTAAAATTGAAGTGGTAAAACTATTAGAAGAAAACACAGAGAAAAACCTCCACAACATTGATTTGGGCAATGATTTTTTGGCTATGACCTCAAAAGCACAGGCAAGAGCAAAAATAGACAAATGGGATTATGTCAAACTAAAAAGCTCTGCACAGCAAAGGAACCAATGAAGAGAGTGAAGAAACAATTTATGAAATAGGAGAAAATATTTGTAAACAGTACCTCTGATAAGGAGTTAACATCCAAAATATATGGAACTCAAACAACTCATAGTGAGAAAACAATAACCTGATTTAAAAATGGGCAAAGGATCTGAATGGACATTTCTCAAAAGAGGACATACAAATGGCCGACAGGTATATGAAAAAAATCCCTAACAACACTAATCATCAGAGAAATGCAAATCAGAACTACAATGAAATATCATCTCACCCCAGGGAAAATGGCTTTTATAAAAAAGACAGGCAATAACAGATGCTAGCAAGGGTGTGGAGAAAGGGGAACCACTGTACACTGTTAATGGGAAGGTAAATTAGTACAGCCATTAGAGAGAATAGTATGGAGTTCCTCAAAAACAAAATATAGAATTACCACATAATCCAGCCATCCCACTGCTGGGTATATATCCAAAGGAAATGAATCATTATGTAGAAGAGATATCTCCACTCCCATGTTATTGTAGCATTATTCAGTAGCCAAGACATGGAATTAACTTGTGTCCATTAAGAGATGAATGGATAAATGGAAAGAAAATGTAATATATACATACAGTGGAATACTATGCTGCCTTAAAAAAGAAGGGAATTCCGTTATCAGTATAGATGAACCTGGAGGACCTTGTGTTAAGTGAAATAAGCCAGGCACAGAAAGACAAATGACACGTGATCTCACTTATATATGAAATCTAAACAAAGTCGAACTCACAGAAGCAGAGAATAGAATGGTGGTTACCAGGGACTGGGGAGATGTTGGTCAAAGGACACAAAATATCAATTAGAAGGAATAAGTTCAAGAGGTTTATCATACAATATGGTGACTATAGTTAATAACAATGTATTGTATTCTTTAAAAGAGTAGATCTTAAGAGTTCTCACCACAAAAAAAATGCTAAGTATGTGAGGTAATACATATGCTAATCAGTTCAATTTAGCTATTCCACAATGTATACATGTTTTAAAACAGCTTGTTGTACACAATAAGTATATATAATTTTTGTCTATTTAAAAATAATTAAATTTTTTAAAATTATTGATGTGCTGGATATAGGGAGAGAAAGAGAGAAATCAAGAATGACTCTAAGGCTTTTGGCCTGAGGAACTAAAAGGATAGAGCTGCCATCAGCAGAAAAGGGACAGACTATAGGAGGAGCATAAATTCTCTACCATATAACTTCCAATATTGCCTTCCCATTCTCTCTCTCCCTTTGGACTCTATTGAAGTAATGCTAGACAGACTTTATTCTTTTAACCATTTATTCTCTCTTTTCATTCTGTCTCTCTGTTGCATTTTTAATAGTTTCTTCTATTTATTTTCTAGTTTATTGGTTCTTTCTTCAGCTGTGTCAAGGCTGCTATCAAACCATTTTCTTAATTTTAGTAGACTTTTCTGTTCTAAAATTTCTATTTGGTTCTTAATCAAGTATATGATGTCAGTAGTTTGTATTTTTTAGTTCCTAAAAACATTTTCAAGCTTACTTTTATATTAAAATGGCAAATACAATTGGCTTTGGTTTTTTAATCTGATAATTCCAGCATCTAAAGTCTTTACGGATCCATTTCTGGATTTGTGGTTCTGACTCATGCAATCCTGTTCCGCTGTTAGTTTCATCATCAATTCTGTGTTGCTTATTATTCAACCTGTTGTTACAAGATACACATTTAAATATAACTAACTCTTAGTCTTTTAATAAATGTTAATTTTTAAAAGCATCGAAACTTATATCCTAATACCAGATGCTGAAGTCTGTGAACAACTTGCCTGTGTAACACTAGATCATTTATTTAATCTTTCTGGATTTCAAGTTTCTTAACTGTAAAAATGCAAATGATTAACTACCATCTTCTATCATTTACGTGTGCAGATAAAAGAAAAGAAAAATAACTTGTATGTTTTTAGGCACATAATAGGGGTTTTCAGTATATGAGTTTCCTTTTCCATTATCAAAAGAAACACCATCAGAATTAAAATAAAATATGGAAGATCAAAGAAACCCAGAGGGAAAACAAGAAAACAAATAGTTATCCTTTTTAGACAACACATCTAGAGTACTTGCGTGATATTTGAGAGCAGTATCTTTTAGCTATTAACACAAATTGGTAGGGACAGAATTTAGTTCCAGAAATAGCAGATGATCCTTTGAGACATTGTACTGTTCAAAGTTATCCAGAGAAATAGGACCAACAGGATCTATCCATCTATCTATCTATCTATCTATCTATCTATCTATCTATCTATCTATCTATCTATCTAGACAAAGATTTACTGTAAGGCATTAGCTCATATAATTAATGGAGCCTAAGAAGTCCAAAGATCTGCAGTTGGTAAGCTGGAGGTGCAGGACAGCCTATGTGTAGTTCCATTGTAAATCCAAAGGCCTGAGAACCAAGGAAGTTGATGCTGTAAATTCTAATCCAAAGGTTGGCAGACTCGAAGTCAAGAGCCAACATTTCAGTCCAAGTCTGGAGGCCTGGAAAAAAACAGTGTTCCAGCTCAAGAGGTCAGGCAGGAGAAATTCCCCTTTACTCGGCCTTTTTGTTCAATTCAGGTCCGCAATTTATTGAATAAGGCCAATAACAGTAGGGTGGATGATTTGCTTTACTCAGTCTGCCATTCAAATATTAATCTCATCCAAAAACACCTTCACAGATACATCCCAAATAATGTTTAGCCAAATGTGTGGGCATCTCACGGACTAGTTAAGTTGAACTTATAAAATTAAACACAACAGGAATGATTCATTGCAAGGGCTGGTCTTAACTGCTTTTGCACTAAAGCCAGAAGAAAATGCTGGGAACTCCCTGCAAACTGTAAGCCAACAGCTTCTTGAATGTTTTTTTTCTGAGTATTTTAATACATAGTATAAGACAGTGGATAATTAAGTACTAAATTATTTAGAAAAGACTAAGTATCTTCATCTTCTGAATCCATGAGCTATACCATTACACTGATAATTTGATTTTGTACTATCTTGCATTGTTCATTAACTCTTCCAGACTAGGTTATATTTTTGCATAAAGTCATATTTCTCTCTATATAGCTCTTAGCTTAATGCAATCCTTTTAAAGTAATAAATGAAGTAAAGTAGATAAAGCAAAACCTGTGTCAATGGAAACCAACACAAATGTATTTAATAATATGAAGAAAGCTGGTCTGGCTTTTATAATAATTCCATGATCCTTTCAAAGAAAATCCAAATGAGAAGCATATTCTAGAAGATATATGAGTCTTAAGAAGCTGGTTTATTCCCAAAATATCCTTGATAATATAATTTACAAAAAATACCAATTATCCAGTGGACTTGGTAAAATAGCAGCCTATGACCAAGACAGTTTTACATGCTCAACCTACATTTCACATATGCAGTTACAAAATATTGCTGATAAAAAGGAAATGAGGCACATAAAACTGCTTAGGGAAAACTGCAAAATATACTTGCAATTTCAGATTGAAATAAGAGGACTATCTTCTTGTCAGATTCCCTTACTACATATTAATTATTCATTATGAATGTCAGTTTAGTCTATAATAACAACATTAGAAAAAATACTTATAGTTTATTTTATCTTTTAGAAGAAAAATATTCTATGACTATAAAATAATTCATGTGCAACATTACAGTCTAGTATTTTAACATCAATACCCAGCATGTAACAAACAGTTTAAGTATACCAGGGACCATGATAGATGCTTTTCAGCTGAAGAATAGGACTGAGATTACTTCTGGCTGGGAATTCAAGAAAGCTGTCATGGAAGAGGCAGGAGTTATGAAGGCCTCTGACAGACTAGTAAAATTCAGGCATGAAGAAATGGCTGGGAAGGGCGTTCCATGAGTTGGAAGCAGGTTGAGCAAAATGTAGAGAGATGGGAAAGAGGCACATTTGTGGAATAAAGAAGAGTTCAGTTTGAATAAAATATAATATTCATGGAGGAAATGCTAAGAAATGGAGGAGTCATACACAAAGACTTTGGGCTTTGAAATCAGAAAACCCTAAGCTGAAATTCTGGTATATTTAACTTCAGTTTCATCTTCTGTAAAACAGTGCCTTTCACATAGTGTTACAAAGACAAATGAGGCATGTACAGATACGTGTGTGTGTGTGTGTATGTGTATGTCTGTGTGTGAATACATTGCCTGACACATAGTAAGTGCTCAATAAAATTATCTATTACTATTATTATCAGATATATGAATATAATCATAATAGCAAATAAAACTAGATAGGTGGCTTGATGCCTTATTATGGAAAATCCTAAGTGCATCACTTGCATCACTAAGTAATCATCAAATATAAGTATTTAATAAATCCTAATCTAACAATTCATGAAGCACAATTTTTACGTTTTGGTATTAAGTCAAGAGTTGACAAATTTTTTCTGTAAAGGGCCAGATGGTAAATATTGTAAGCTCTGTAAGGCTACATGATCTTTGTTGTAACTACTCTACTCTCTTTGGGTAGCGAGAAGGCAGCCACAGGAAATATATAAGCAAATGGGTGTGTCCGTATTCCAAGAAAATTTTACTTACAAAAACAAGCAGTAGACAAGATTAAGTTTGTTGGTGATAACTTGTAGATCCCTGTCTTAAGTACTTCCTATGGAAATGTTTTCCCTTTTATGGACAGACCTAGAAGAATGTTATATTATACATTTTCATTTCCATATTCATATTATAGATGAACATTCTCACTGTGTAATTAAAAACTAAGGTTTTCAATATAAAGCTAGAAATTTGTCATTTGTACAAAAAATGGCATTATATCTAACACCAGGGCAGTCCTTTGTACACAGCAACTGTTCAATATATGCTCATTAAATAGATAAATAAATAAGACCAATGAAATCTTTACATTTTAAAGTAACTTTGTTGTAGTGATTGTACATGACTACCACTTCTGGGAGAAACAGTACAGAAATCATAAGTAAAAAAGCCCAAGTATCCTGTTTCAGTATTTTCAGTGAGAAAGTACTCACTATGTACCACTTGAGGAAGATAATATTTAACAGTAATTTAAGAGAATTAGTTAATAATCCAAATAATTAACACATTTTACTTTCTCTAGTGAAGGTTTGTTAAAAAGTAACAATTCTCTTAAATATACCGGGTTTGAACTTCCATTACTATCACCAACAATAGTGTTAAATATTCAAGTCTTAATTAGCCAGCAACTTTACCAGATGAAATGTGTGGTAGACAGCCTCTAGGATGGTCCCAATTGAGCCCCACCTCATGGTATTCACACTTTTGTGAAATTTTGTCCCCTAGGGTGTGAGTTGAACTCGTTGAATTGCTTCTAACAAAGAAGAGATGAGGCCGGGCACAGTGGCTCACGCCTGTAATCCTAGCACTTTGGGAGGCCAAGGTGGGCGGATCACAAGGTCAGGAGATCGAGACCATCCTGGCTAACATGGTGAAACCCCGTCTCTACTAAAAATACAAAAAATTAGCCAGGCGTGGTGGTGGGTGCCTGTAGTCCCAGCTACTCCGGAGGCTGAGCCAGGAGAATGGTGTGAACCCGGGAAGCAGAGCTTGGAGTGAGCCGAGATTGCACCACTGCACTCCAGCCTGGGTGACAGAGCGAGAGTCCGTCTCAAATAAAAAGAATAAAAAAGAAAAAAAAAGAAGAGATGAGTTGTACTTCTGGGAATAGGTTATAAAAAAAGACTGTGGCTTCCGTCTTGTGTGTGTCCTCCTTCTCAGATCTCTTGCACTGAGGAAAGCAAGTAACCACATTGTGAACAACCTTATGCAAAGGCCTACGTGGCATGGTAAGGAGCTGAGGCCCTCATTTCAACAGCCCACCAGAAACTGAACCTTGTTAACAGCCACGAGTTAGCTTGGAAGCAAATCCTTCAGCCCCAGTCAAGCCTTGAAAAGACTGCAGTTCTAGCCAACAGCTTGCTTACAGCCTCCCGGGAAATCTTGAGTCAGAGGCATCCCGCTAAGTCCCTCCTAGTTTCCTGACCCTGTGAGATAATTAATGTTTGTTATTTTCGGCCACAAATAGCAATAGATAACTAATATAGTAAATGTTTGGTTAACGTTTATAACATGGCCAACATGTTTGTGCTACAATGGTGCTTAGACTTTCAGCCTTGTTTTGAAGGAGCTGACTACTTAATGGAAAACATAGAAGGGCAAATATAATTACAAAATTGTGTTACTTATGCTACAAATTCAGCAATATGGGAACACAGAAGAATGAGCCACTAACCAAATGAGGGGGCCAGAGCAGAAAGTTAGGTTATAGGCAGAAAGAGAAAGTGAAGAAAAAAAATGTAATAGCCTTGAGGAATGAGTGCCATCAAGAACTCAAAGAGGGAGAAGCATTCCAGGCAAAGAAAACAGAATATGCAACAGGGCAGAAGCATGAACGAGCATTATGCCTTTGGGAAGCTATAAATAGTTCAGCTTGGCTGAAGCACAGGATATGTGTGGAAAAGTGAATGGAGATGATGTTGGCAAGATAAAGTATTCAGATGAAAGATGGAAAGGTGTATAAAAAGAAAACAAAATTGCCTTTGTAAAAGATTAAATTTTTCTATTTAGGAAAAAAAGTCAGCCACATTGCATTTCTAAAATTACTTTCCTTGAGGCTATGATCAAATGCTACTTTCATCTATAAAAAGAACAGACCACAAGGCTATAGTCACTTTAAAATTCTCTGCATGCAAGAGGCCACATCTGTGTGCTAAAGAGTAGAATGATTGACTAGCAGCTTCAAGCCAATAAGAACTTTGGTCTTATCTACACCAGAGAAGTTCTAGCAAAGAGTCAAAAACTCGAAGAGTTAGAGGACATCTAAAAGTCCAAGATCTCAATTCAAACATAAAAAGCAGTGCAATGAACAGATGGTTGGGAGAGTGTGCTCTCTCCCACCTTTCCTTTACTTTTGTTTCCTCCTCTTTCTCAACCCATGGCAGGGAGATGGTCTTTTAGCATAATAATTCACCAGAGGTATGCTGTAATTGGTGAGCAATATTAGTAGGAGAAATGTTTCCTTGTCTTATAAATTCTCTACTCTGAAGAATCTCAAGGATTTATGAGAAATGCAGGAGTCTTGTAGAATTTTACCTTCCTCCTCCCAGGATGATGCCAAGAATGACAATTCCCTGGCCTTGGCTAGCAAGACTGAACTAGAATCCTGGAGAACTGCACAGTTAAGAAAATGAAAGAGAAAGGGAGGCCATAGAAGATGGGTTCCCTCCCAATGCTTACTTTTATGGACTAAATGTTAAGCAATGAAGAAAGTAAAAAAGAAAGAAAATATTTTGCATCACATCAGTAATCCGTGGATTCTCTGTTTTACTAATGCACTTGTGCTTCAATTCTTATTTTGGCTCTTCAGGCTCTCCTGGTTTTGAGTCCCATTTTAGGTTGTATGCTTTCCCTTTTGTCTTAACAACCTATTCTTTTCTCCGGTTGTACTCTTAGTGGTCCCTGTATTCATCTTCTATATCTTTCTATTCATTCCAAAATTATGTAAACACCCAACCTGACCAAGACACACCCTAGCACTAGCCCACCAGGCCAGAACCCCTACTAAGTAGCCACTGACTCTCTATGAAAGGAAGTTAGAAAATGAACCTGCTGAGAGTAAAGGGGGAAAAAGGTGGATAGGAGGCAGGACTAACTTGCAGCTGCCACTCAGATGGACAGAGCAGCATGTGGAGACCCACATCATGAACTTTTGCTCCAAGAACTACCATAGGAACATACCAGGAAAGCAGAGAAAACCACAGACCCTTTGAAGGAGTAGATTGCCACTGCAGGCTCTGTGAGTCAGCTTGCTTTCTCAGCAGGGAGGTTTGTAGCCTGGGGCAAGTTCTTAGTCCTGCTCATAGGCTGCCTGGAAATAAACGGTGCTGTTGGCAGGGCACAGTGGGAATGAGACTGGCCTTTTGGGCTGTGGGCTGTGTGGGAGTTGGGTGAGGTCTGTGGCTGCTGGCTTTCCACCACTTTCCTGGTGACCTGTGCGACTCAGCAGAGGCAGCCATAATCCCCCTGGGATATAACTCCATTGGCCTGGGAACTGCAACCCCACCCCCAACAGTAGCCACAGCAAACCCCACCCAAGGAGAGTCTGAGCTCAGACACACCTAACCCTGTCCCCACTTGATGGTTATTGTCTGCTGGCCCTGGTAGCTGAAGACTAAGGACATAATCTCTTGGGAACTCTATGGCCCCACCCACGGCCTGATCCTTCCTATACTACTGCAGCTGATGTGCTATTGAAAGCACCACCTCCTGGCTTGAGGACAACCAAAACAAAACCAGCGCACTTAACAAAAATACAACCAAGGACCCTCAGAGAGTCCACTTCACTCTCCTGATACCTCCACCAGAGCAGGTGCTGGTATGGTATCCACAGCTGAGAGACCTGAAGATGGGTCAAATCACAGAACTCTTTGCAGACACTCCCAGTACCAGCCTGGAGCCCAGTAGCTCCACTGGGAGGCTAGATTCAGAAGAAAAATAACAGTCACTTCAGCTCTCAGGAAGCCCCATCCCTAGGGGAAAGGGAAGAGCACCATATCAAGAGAGCACCCCATTAGACAAAGAATCTTAACAGAAGCCCTTGAGTCCTAGATCTTCTCTCTGAAATAGTCTACCCAAATAAGAAGGAACCAGAAAAAAACAATTCTGGTAATATGACAAAACAAGGTTCTTTAACACCTCCAAAAGAACATACTGGCTTACCAGCAATGGGTCAAGATCAACAGGAAACCTCTGAATTGCCAGAAAAAGAATTCAGAAGGTCGACTACTGAGCCAATCAAGGAGGCACCAGAGGAAGGTTAAGTGCAACTTAAAGAAATCAAAAAAGATGATACAGGATATGAATGGAAAAATCTCCAGTGAAATAGATAGCATAAAAAAAATCACAACTTCTGGAAATGAAGGACACACTTAGAGAATTACAAAATGCACTGGGAAGTCTCACAATAGAATCAAACAAGTAGAAGAAAAAAACTTCAGAGCTTGAAATCAAGGCTTTCAAATTAACCCAATCTGATAAAGACAAAGAAAATTTTTTTTTTAAAATGAACAAGGCCTCCAAGAAAATTTGGGATTATATTAAATGATCAAACCTAAAACTAATTGATGTTCCCGAGGGAGAATAGAAATCTAAAAGTTTGGAAAACATATTTGAGGGAATAATAGAGAAAAACTTTCCCAGCCTTGCTAGAGATCTAGACATCCAAATACAAAAAGCTCAAAAAACACCTGGGAAATTCATCACAAAAAGATCATCGCCTAGGCACCTGATAGTCATCAGGTTATCTAAAGTCAAGATGAAGAGCTGTGAGGCAAAAGCATCAGATAACCTATAAAGGAAAACTTATCAGATTAACAGCAGATTTCTCAGCAGAAATCCTACAAGCTAGAAGGGATTGGGGTTCTCTTTAGCCTCCTTAAATAAAACAATTATCAGCCAAGAATTTTGTGTCCAGTGAAACTAAGCTGCATAAATGAAAAAAAGATGGTGTTTTTCAGAAAAATAAACGCTGAATTTGCCACTACCAAGCCATCACTAAAAGAATGGCTAAAAGGAGCTCTAAATTTTTTTTTAACCTCTAAATCTTGAAACAAATCCTCGAAATACACCAAAATAGAATCTCCTTAAAGCACAAATCTCACAGGACCTATAAAACAACAACACTATGAAAAAAAAACCAAGGTATTCAGGCAACAAATAGCATGATAAACAGAACAGAACTTCATGTCTTAATATTAACATTGAATGTAAATGGCCTAAATGATCCACTTAAAAGACACAGAATGGTAGAATGGATGAGAATTCACTAGCCAAGTATCTGCTGTCTTCAAGAGAGTCACCCAACACATAAGGACTCACATAAACGTAAGGTAAAGGGGTGAAAAAAGATACTTCATGCAAATAGACACCAAAAGCAAGCAGGAGTAGCTGTTCTTATATTAGACAAAACAAACTTTAAAGCAGCAGCAGTTAAAAAAGACAAAGAAGGACATACATAATGATAAAATGACTAGTCCAATAGGAAAACATCACAAACCTAAATATACATGCACCTAACACTGGAAGTCCCAAATTTATAAAACAATTTCTACTAGACCTAAGAAATGAGATGGACAGCAACACAATAATAGTCGGGGACTTCAATATTCCACAGACAGCAGTCAGGTCTTCAAGACAGAAAGTCAACAAAGAACTATACCCTAGAACAAATGGACTAAACGGATATTTACAGAACAGATATTTACAGAATATTCTACCCAACAACTGCAGAATATACATTCTACTCATCAGCACAGGGGACATTCTCCAAGATAGACCATATGATAGGCCATAAAACAAGTCTCAACAAATTTAAGAAACTCAAAATCATAGCAAGTACTCTCTCAGAGCACAGTGGAATAAAATTGGAACTCAACTCCAAAAGAAACCCTGAAAACCATGCAAATACATAGAAACTGAATAACCTACTCCTGAATGATTACTGCATAAACAATGAAATCAATATGAAAATTAAAAAATTTACACTGAACAATAATAGTGACACAACCTATCAAAACCTCTGGGATACAGCAAAGGTGGTGCTAAGAGAAAAGTTCATAGCATCAAATGTCTACTTCAAAACATCTGAGAGCACAAATAGACAATCTAAAGTCATATCTCAAGAAGATAGAGAGACAAGAACCAAACCCAAATCTAGAAGAAAAAAAGAAATAACCAAGATCGGAGCAGAACTAAATGAAATTGAAAAAAAAAAAATACAAAAGATAAACAGAAAGCTGGTTCTTTGAAAAGATAAATAAAATTGATAGACCATTAGCGAGACTAACTAAGAAAAGAAGAGAGAAGATCCAAATAAGTGCAATTAGAAATGAAACAGGAGATATTACAACCAATCCCACAGAAATACAAAAGACCATTTAAGGTTACTATGAACACTTTTATGTGCATAAACTAGAAAACCTAGAGGAGATGGATAAATTCCTGGAAATATATAACCCTCCTAGATTAAACCAGGAAGAAATAGAAACTCTGAACAGACCAACAACAAGCAGCAAGATTGAAATGGTAATTAAAAAGTTACCGAGAAAAAAAGGCCAGGACCAGATAGATACACAGCTAAATTCTCTCAGACATTCAAAGAAGAATTGGTACCAATCCTGTTGATATCTATTCCAAAAGATATAGAAAAAGAGAATCCCCCCTAAATTATTCTATGAAGCCAGTATCACCATAATACCAAAACCAGGAAAGGACATAACATAAAAAGAAAACTACAGACCAATATCCCTGATTAACATAGATACAAAAATCCTAAACAAAATATTACTTAACTGAATCCTACAGCATATCAAAAAGATAATCCACCATGATCAACTGGGTTTCATACAAGGAATGCAGGGATGGTTTAACATTCACAAATCAATAAATGTGATACACCACATAAACAGAATTAAAAACAAAAATTACATGATCATCTGAATAGATGCAGAAAAAGCATTTGATGAAATCCAGCATCCCTTTATGATTAAAACCCTAAGTAAAATTAGCATAAAGGTCATTCGTTAATGTAATAAAAGCATCTATGACAAACCCACAGCCGACATTATACTGAATGGGGAAAATTTGAAAGCATTCCCCCTGAGAACTGGAACAAGACAAGGATGCCCACTTTCACCACTTCTATTAAACATAGTACTGGAAGTCCTAGCCAGAGAAATCAGATAAAAGAAAGAAATAAAGGCCATCCAAATCAATAAAGAGGAAGTTAAACTGTCACTGTTTGCTGATGACATGATCACATACCTAGGAAACCCTAAAGGCTTATACAAAAAGTTCCTAGAACTGGTAAATGAATTCAGCAAAGTTTCAGGATACAAAATTAACATACACAAATCAGTAGCCTTGCTATACACCAACAGTTTTCAAGCTGAGAATCAAATCAAGAACTCAACCCCTTTTACAATAGCTACAAAAAAAAAAATTAGGAATATACTCAACCAAAGAGGTGAAAGCCTGCTACAAGGAAAACTACAAAACATTGCTGAAAGAAATCATAGATTGACATAAACAAATAGAAACACATCCCAATCTCATGAATGAGCAGAATCAATATTGTGAAAAATGACCATACTGCCAAAAGCAATCTACAAATTAAATGCAATTCCCATCAAATTACCACCATCATTCTTCACAGAACTAGAAAAAACAATCCTAAAATTCATACGGACCCCAAAAAGAGCCCACATAACCAAAACAAGACTAAGCAAAAAGAACAAATCCAGAGGCATTACATTACTGAACTTCAAACTATACTATAAGGCCACAGTTGCCAAAACAGCATGGTACTGGTATAATAACATATGGACCAATGGAACTGAATAGAGAATCCAGAACCCAGAACCCATAAATAAAGCCAAATGTTTACTGTCAACCAGTCTTTGACAAAGCAAACAAAAATATAAAGTGCATAAAGGACACCCTATTTAACAAATGGTGCTGGGATAATTGGCAAGCCACGTAAAAGAATGAAACTGGATCCTCATCTCTCCCCTTAAACAAAAATCAACTCAAGATGGATTAAAGACTTAATTCTAAGACCTGAAACCATAACAATTCTAGGAGATAACATTGGAAAAACCTTTCTAGACATTGGCTTAAGCAAAGACTTCATGACCAAGAACCCAAAAACAAATGCAACAAAAACAGAGATAAATAGATGGGACTTAATTAAACTAAAAAGCTTCTGCACAGCAAAAGAAATAATCAGCAGAGTAAACAGACAACCCACAGAGTGGGAGAAAATCTTCACAATCTACACATCCAACAAAAGCTACAAGGAACTCAAACATATCAGCAAGAAAAAAACAGTCTCATCAAAAATTGAGTTAAGGACATGAATAGACAGTTACCAAAAGAAGATATACAAATGGCCAACAAACATATAAAAAAATGCTCAACATCACTAATGATCAGGGAAATGCAAATCAAAACCAAAATGAGATACCACCTTACTCCTGCAAGAATGGCCATAATAACAAAAAAAAAAAATGGATGTTAACATGGATGTGGTGAAAAGGGAACACTTTTACATTGTTGATGGGAATGTAAACTAATAAAACCACCACTGAAAACAGTGTGGAGATTCCTCAAAGAAGTAAAAGTAGATCTACCATTTGATCCAACAATCCCACTCCTGGGTACCTACCCAGAGGAAAATAAGTCATTATACAAAAAAAGATACTTGCACACACATGTTTATAGCAGCACAATTCACAATTGCAAAAATATAGAACCAGCCCAAATGCCCATCAATCAACGAGTGGATAAAGAAAATGTGGTGGATATATACATGTATATATATATATATATACACATACACACACCATGGAATACTACTTAGCCATAAAAAGGAACAAAATAATGGCATTTGCAGCAACCTGGATAGAACTGGTGACCATTATTCTAAGGGAAGTAACTCAGGAATGGAAAACCAAACATATGTTCTCACTCATAAGTGGGAGCTATGCTATGAGGATGCAAAGGCATAAGAATGATACAATGGACTTTGGAGACTCAGGGGAAAGAGTGGAAGGGCAGTGAGGGATAAAAGTCTACACATTGGGTACAGTGTACACTGTTCAGGTGATGAGTACACCAAAATCTCAGAAATCACCACTAAAGAACTTATTCATGTAACCAAATACGAACTGTTTCCTAAAAACCTATTAAAATTAAAAAAAAAGAAGAAGAAAATGAACTTGCTAAATCCCTGAATAAAATATCACAGTAGTTGGAGGTGAAATGACATTCATTCTTCCACATGACAGTGTAAATTCCAGTAGTATTCCTTCACACTCATTTAAAAATGAGTCTAATCTCATCAGATGATGCTATAGTCCATACTTCCTCATAGCTATAATTTATGAACTTCTTTTTACTCTCTTTTATTTATCAGAGAATTAGCATGTATCTCCCAATCTTGCTTTCCACCTCAAGCCTATCATCATTTTGGGAACTGTCAGTTTCCTCGTACATTTTCAATCAATCTCTTGAGCCTGAGTGTTTTGATTTCTACTTACGTAATCTTTGCTTTAATTCTATTCAGATTACCATGTCTAAGGCTAACCCATGTATTTCATTATGAACAGCAACTACTTCATATAGATATTTAATCTCTAGTAACTCATTCTGTGGATACAATGTCCAATCACTTCCTCTCTCTTCCACACTACATCTATTGTTTAATCCCATCTCTATCCTTTTATCCATCTAGTTTCATCCAACCTATCAGTCCCTTTCCATCTTCACATTTACTTATTTAGTTTAGACACAATGGCCCATCACTTAACAACTCTCTTGCCAGTAACTACATTCACTCTTGTTATTTTACCACATACACTGAGCAAAACCCTATTCCTATTTGCAGTTGACACTTTAATGTACCACCCAGATTCAACTTCAGATATAAAACATTTATTCTCCTAGCTGTATGATGTGTTGCTGGCAGACAGTCTTCAGCTGTCAGCTTTCTTTTGGAATTGCCTCAACTGAAGAGAATGGACTGACCCAAGGCCATGCCCCCTTCCAGGTGCAAGCTGCTTTCAATGTCAGGTCAACACAAGTGTATAATAGTCCTGTCCTATCGCCAACTTGGAATGACTTTGAAGAGTCATCCCAGTTTCAGAATTCCCTAGGGAGCCTTTGGATGGCTATATTGAGACTTCATCACAGCCTGATCTCTCCAGCTGCCATTTCTGGCTTCCCTTTAACAGGTGTTGCCTCCGAAATCACTCAATAAATCTCCTGTATGCTAACCTACATCTCAAAGTCAGCTTTCTGGTGAATCCATCTTGGATTGAACTCAGTTGTTCTCAGTGGCCCCTTCTGCATCTTTTTAACCAATTAGGTACTAATGACTGAGACAGAAAAATCATACAACTGCTAGAAATTAATGTTATCAAATGATTTGATATTCTCTGATATGGTTTGTATACTTGTCTCCTCCAAATCTCATGTTGAAATGTGTTCCCCACTGTTGGAGATGGGCATACTGGGAGGTGTTTGCATTATGGGAATGGATCCCTCATGAATGGCCTGGTGCCCTCCCTGTGGAGGTCATGAGTTACCATGAGATCTGGCTGTTAAAAAGAGTCTAGGATCTACCTCTTCTCTCTTGCTCACTCTCTCATCATGTGATATGCCTTCTCCCCCTTTACCTTCCACCATGAGTAAAGGTTCCTGAGGCCTCATTGTAAGCTGAGCAGATGTTCATGCCATGCTTGAACATCCTGCAGAACTGCAAGCCAAACAAACCTCCTTTCTTTATAAATTACTCAGTCTCAGGTATTCCTTTACAGCAATACAAAATGGAATAACACATGCTTTCACAAATAATTCACACGGTGAAAAAAATACCCTAATAGAAAACTGGACTAAAAACTACCAACAGGCACTTCACAAAAGAAAAGTACAAATAAATGTATAAGCCTTTTGCCTCAGCTTCTGCTCAAGCCTTTGTATAGGAATGCATGGATGGAATACAGTCTTCTGGTTTTGTTTTGATTAATATGTGAAGACAAGATATTCACAAGCTTAAACATTCAAATGCGGCAGCCAAGATGGCCGAATAGGAACAGATCCGGTCTACAGCTCCCAGCATGAGTGACGCAGAAGACGGGTGATTTCTGCATTTCCATCTGAGGTACCGGGTTCATCTCACTAGGGAGTGCCAGACAGTGGGTGCAGGACAGTGGGTGCAGCACACCGTGCGCGAGCCGAAGCAGGGCGAGGCATTGCCTCACTTGGGAAGTGCAAGGGGGCAGGGAGTTCCCTTTCCTAGTCAAAGAAAGGGGTGACAGATGGCACCTGGAAAATCAGGTCACTCCCACCCTAATACTGCGCTTTTCCGACAGGCTTAAAAAACGGTGCACCAGGAGATTATATCCTGTGCATGGCTCGGAGGGTCCTACGCCCACGGAGTCTCACTGATTGCTAGCACAGCAGTCTGAGATCAAACTGCAAGGTGGCAGCGAGGCTTGGGGAGGGGCGCCCGCCATTGCCCAGGCTTGCTTAGGTAAACAAAGCAGCTGGGAAGCTCGAACTGGGTGGAGCCCACCACAGCTCAAGGAGGCCTGCCTGCCTCTGTAGGCTCCACCTCTGGGGGCAGGGCACAGACGACAAAAAGACAGCAGTAACCTCTGCAGACTTAAATGTCCCTGTCTGACAGCTTTGAAGAGAGCAGTGGTTCTCCCAGCACGCAGCTGCAGATCTGAGAAGGGACAGACTGCCTCCCCAAGTGGGTCCCTGACCCCTGACCCCCAAGCAGCCTAATTGGGAGGCACCCCCCAGTAGGGGCAGACTGATACCTCACATGGCCGGGTACTCCTCTGAGACAAAACTTCCAGAGGAACGATCAGACAGCAGCATTCGCGGTTGATGAAAATCCACTGTTCTGCAGTCACTGCTGCTGATACCCAGGCAAACAGGGTCTGGAGTGGACCTCTAGCAAACTCCAACAGACCTGCAGCTGAGGGTCCTGTCTGTTAGAGGGAAAACTAACAAACAGAAAGGACATCCACACCAAAAACCCATCTGTACATCACCATCATCAAAAACCAAAAGTAGATAAAACTACAAAGATGGGGAAAAAACAGAGCAGAAAAACTGGAAACCCTAAAAAGCAGAGCACCTCTCCTCCTCCAAAGGAATGCAGTTCCTCACCAGCAACAGAACAAAGCTGGACGGAGAATGACTTTGACGAGTTGAGAGAAGAAGGCTTCAGACGATCAAACTACTCCAAGCTACAGGAGGAAATTCAAAGCAAAGGCAAAGAAGTTAAAAACTTTGAAAAAAATTTAGATGAATGTATAACTAGAATAACCAATACAGAGAAGTGCTTAAAGGAGTTGATGGAGCTGAAAGCCAAGGCTCGAGAACTACGTGAAGAATGCAGAAGCCTCAGGAGCCGATGCGATCAACTGGAACAAAGGGTATCAGTGATGGAAGATGAAATGAATGAAATGAAGCCAGAAGGGAAGTTTAGAGAAAAAAGAATAAAAATAAATGAACAAAGCCTCCAAGAAATATGGGACTATGTGAAAAGACCAAATCTACGTCTGATTGGTGTACCTGAAAGTGA
The DNA here is from genome assembly GCF_000001405.40 of Homo sapiens. Lineage (NCBI taxonomy): Eukaryota > Metazoa > Chordata > Mammalia > Primates > Hominidae > Homo > Homo sapiens. Next base: position 99,464,835 of record NC_000012.12, read on the forward strand.
CGGGGAGAATGGAACCAAGTTGGAAAACACTATGCAGGATATTATGTAGGAGAACTTCCCCAATCTAGCAAGGCAGGCCAACATTCAGATTCAGGAAATACAGAGAACACCACAAAGATACTCCTCGAGAAGAGCAACTCCAAGACACATAATTGTCAGATTCACCAAAGTTGAAATGAAGGAAAAAGTGTTAAGGGCAGCCAGAGAGAAAGGTCGGGTTACCCACAAAGGGAAGCCCATCAGACTAACAGCTGAACTCTCTGCAGAAACTCTACAAGCCAGAAGAGAGTGGGGGCCAATATTCAACATTCTTAAAGAAAAGAATTTTCAACCCAGAATTTCATATCCAGCCAAACTAAGCTTCATAAGTGAAGGAGAAATAACATACCTTACAGACAAGCAAATGCTGAGAGATTTTGTCACCACCAGGCCTGCCCTAAAAGAGCTCCTGAAGGAAGCACTAAACATGGAAAGGAACAACCAGTACCAGCCACTGCAAAATCACGCCAAATTGTAAAGACCATCGAGGCTAGGAAGAAACTGCATCAACTAACGAGCAAAATAACCAGCTAACATCATAATGACAGGATCAAATTCAAACATAACAGTATTAACTTTAAATGTAAATGGACTAAATGCTCCAATTAAAAGACACAGACTGGCAAATTGGATAAAGAGTCAAGACCCATCAGTGTGCTGTATTCAGGAAACCCATCTCACGTGCAGAGACACACATAGGCTCAAAATAAAAGGATGGAGGAAGATCTACCAAGCAAATGGAAAACAAAAAAAGGAAGGGGTTGCAATCCTAGTCTCTGATAAAACAGACTTTAAACCAACAAAGATCAAAAGAGACAAAGCAGGCCATTATATAATGGTAAAGGGATCAATTCAACAAGAAGAGCTAACTATCCTAAATATATATGCACCCAATACAGGAGCACCCAGATTCATAAAGCAAGTCCTAAGTGACCTACAAAGAGACTTAGACTCCCACACAATAATAATGGGAGACTATAACACCCCACTGTCAACATTAGACAGATCAACGAGACAGAAAGTTAACAAGAATACCCAGGAATTGAACCCAGCTCTGCACCAAGCAGACCTAATAGACATCTACAGAACTCTCCACCCCAAATCAATATACATTTTTTTCAGCATCAGACCACACCTATTCCAAAATTGACCACATAGTTGGAAGTAAAGCTCTCCTCAGCAAATGTAAAAAAACAGAAATTATAACAAACTGTCTCTCAGACCACAGTGCAATCAAACTAGAACTCAGGATTAAGAAACTCACTCAAAACCACTCAACTACATGGAAACTGAACAAACTGCTCCTGAATGACTACTGGGTACATAACGAAATGAAGACAGAAATAAAGAAGGTCTTTGAAACCAACGAAAACAAAGACACAACATACCAGAATCTCTGGGACACATTCAAAGCAGTGTGTAGAGGGAAATTTATAGCACTAAATGCTCACGAGAGAAAGCAGGAAAGATCCAAAATTGACACCCTAACATCACAATTAAAAGAACTAGAAAAGCAAGAGCAAACACATTCAAAAGCTAGCAGAAGGCAAGAAATAACTAAAATCAGAGCAGAACTGAAGGAAATAGAGACACAAAAAACCCTTCAAAAAATTAATAAATCCAGGAGCTGGTTTTTTGAAAGGATCAACAAAATTGATAGACCGCTAGCAAGACTAATAAAGAAGAAAAGAGAGAAGAATCAAATAGATGCAATAAAAAATGATAAAGGGGATATCACCACCGATCCCACAGAAATACAAACTAACATCAGAGAATACTACAAACACCTCTATGCAAATAAACTAGAAAATCTAGAAGAAATGGATAAATTCCTTGACACATACACCCTCCCAAGACTAAACCAGGAAGAAGTTGAATCTATGAATAGACCAATAACAGGAGCTGAAATTGTGGCAATAATCAATAGCTTACCAACCAAAAAGAGTCCAGGACCAGATGGATTCACAGTCGAATTCTACCAGAGGTACAAGGAGGAACTGGTACCATTCCTTCTGAAACTATTCCAATCAATAGAAAAAGAGGGAATCCTTCCTAACTCATTTTATGAGGCCAGAATCATCCTGATACCAAAGCCTGGCAGAGACACAACCAAAAAAGAGAATTTTAGACCAATATCCTTGATGAACACTGATGCAAAAATCCTCAATTAAATATTGGCAAACCTAATCCAGCAGCACATCAAAAATCTTATCCACCATGATCAAGTGGGCTTCATCCCTGGGATGCAAGGCTGGTTCAATATACACAAATCAATAAATGTAATCCAGCATATAAACAGAACCAAAGACAAAAACCAGGTGATTATCTCAATAGATGCAGAAAAGGCCTTTGACAAAATTCAACAATGCTTCATTCTAAAAACTCTCAATAAATTAGGTATTGATGGGTTGTATCGCAAAATAATAAGAGCTAACTATGACAAACCCACAGCCAATACCATACTGAATGGGCAAAAACTGGAAGCATTCCCTTGAAAACTGGCACAAGACAGGGATGCCCTTTCTCACCACTCCTATTCAACATAGTGTTGGAAGTTCTGGCCAGGGCAATTAGGCAGGAGAAGGAAATAAAGGGTATTCGATTAGGAAAAGAGGAAGTCAAATTGTCCCTGTTCGCAGATGACATGATTGTATATCTAGAAAACCCCACTGTCTCAGCCCAAAATCTCCTTAAGCTGATAAGCAACTTCAGCAAAGTCTCAGGAAACAAAATCAATGTACAAAAATCACAAGCATTCTTATACACCAATAACAGACAAACAGAGAGCCAAATCATGAGTGAACTCCCATTCACAATTGCTTCAAAGAGAATAAAATACCTAGGAATCCAACTTATAAGGGACATGAAGGACCTCTTCAAGGAGAACTACAAACCACTGCTCAATGAAATAAAAGAGGATACAAAGAAATGGAAGAACATTCCATGCTCATGGGTAGGAAGAATCAATATCGTGAAAATGGCATACTGCCCAAGGTAATTTATAGATTCAATGCCATCCCCATCAAGCTACCAATGACTTTCTTCACATAATTGGAAAAAACTACTTTAAAGTTCATATGGAAGCAAAAAAGAGCCCACATCGCCAAGTCAATCCTAAGCCAAAAGAACAAAGCTGGAGGCATCACGGTACCTGACTTCAAACTACACTACAAGGCTACAGTAACCAAAACAGCATGGTACTGGTACCAAAACAGAGATATAGATCAATGGAACAGAACAGAGCCCTCAGAAATAATGCTGCATATCTACAACTATCTGATCTTTGACAAACCTGAGAAAAACAAGCAATGGGGAAAGGATTCCCTATTTAATAAATGGTGCTGGGAAAACTGGCTAGCCATATGTAGAAAGCTGAAACTGGATCTCTTCCTTACACCTTATACAAAAATTAATTCAAGATGGATTAAAGACTTAAACATTAAACCTAAAACCATAAAAACCCTAGAAGAAAATCTAGGCATTACCATTCAGGACATAGGCATGGGCAAGGACTTCATGTCTAAAACAGCAAAAGCAATGGCAACGAAAGCCAAAATTGACAAATGGGATCTAATTAAACTAAAGAGCTTCTGCACAGCAAAAGAAACTACCATCAGAGTGAACAGGCAACCTAAAAAATGGAAGAAAATTTTCGCAACCTACTCGTCTGACAAAGGGCTAATATCCAGAATCTACAATGAACTCAAACAAATTTACAAGAACAAAACAAACAACCCCATCAAAAAGTGGGCAAAGGATATGAACAGACACTTCTCAAAAGAACACATTTATGCAGCCAAAAAACACATGAAAAAATGCTCATCATCACTGGCCATCAAAGAAATGCAAATCAAAACCACAATGAGATACCATCTCACACCAGTTAGAATGGCAATCATTAAAAAGTCAGGAAACAACAGGTGCTGGAGAGGATGTGGAGAAATAGGAACACTTTTACACTGTTGGTGGGACTGCAAACTAGTTCAACCATTGTGGAAGTCAGTGTGGCGATTCCTCAGGGATCTAGAACTAGAAATACCATTTGACCCAGCCATCCCATTACTGGGTATATACCCACAGGACTATAAATCATGCTGCTATAAAGACACATGCACACGTATGTTTATTGCAGCACTATTCACAATAGCAAAGACTTGGAACCAACCCAAATGTCCAACAATGACAGACTGGATTAAGAAAATGTGGCACATATACACCATGGAATACTATGCAGACATAAAAAAGGATGAGTTCATGTCCTTTGTAGGGACATGGATGAAATTGGAAATCATCATTCTCAGTAAACTATCGCAAGGACAAAAAACCAAACACCACATGTTCTCACTCATAGGTGGGAACTGAACAATGAGAACACATGGACACAGGAAGGGGAACATCACACTCTGGGGACTGTTGTGGGGTGGGGGGAGGGGGGAGGGATAGCATTGGGAGATATACCTAATGCCAAATGACGAGTTGGTGGGTGCAGCACACCAGCATGGCACATGTATACATATGTAACTAATCTGCACATTGTGCACACGTACCCTAAAACTTAAAGTATAATAATAATAAAATTTAAAAAAAAATTCAAATGTTTCCTCTTTTACCTCATTATGATTTCTTTCAAGGCAGACACAATGTGTCTAATTTGTCTTTATATCACCATTACACATTACAGTAGAATTCACTTTATTAGGAGTCAGGACTCAATTTTTGAACAGTCAGAGTATTACGGACAAAACAATATTTCATGTATTTTTAAACAAAGTATTTCACATCATTTACTTAATATCTATATTTGTTAAATACTGATGAGAACAAAATTTCAAGTATCTAGAATTTAGCAAAGAAGTTAAATGTCCAACTAAAATAAGTTTAAATTTAAATGATTAAATTGTTTGTTGTATTTCAGATTCTATCCATTTTACTTTAATAGAAAAATATCATTCATAAAAAAGTTTGGCTGGCCACAGTGACTGACACCAAAAATCAAAGCATTTTGGGAGACTGAGGTAGGAGGATTGCTTGAGGCCAGGAGTTCCAGACAAGCCTGGGCAACATAGGAGACCCCCGTATCTTCAAAAATAAACAAATTAGTGGGATTTGGTGGTACAGGCCTACAGTCCCAACTTCTCAGGAGACTGAGGCAGGAGAATCACTTGAGCTCAGGAGTTTTAGGCGGCCGTGAGTTATGATTATCCCACTGCACTCCAGCCTAGGTAACAGAGACTCTGTCTCTAATAATAATAATAATAATAATAATAAAGTTTTCATGAAAAAAAGAAATATTAATAAAATTTCCTAAATTGGAGACATGCACTCATTATCCACATATATCAACATTGGTCTTATTTTCATTATGGTATACTGTATGAGCTATGGAAATTATTAAGTATCAAGCATTAAATTACCTGCCAATTCTTGTTCATTATACAATCACTGGTCTCAGAAGAACATAATCATTACAAAGACAACTTCAAAAGTAGGAGTGACTATCTTTAATGCTTTAATGACATTGTAGAGCATCACATCATGATTTGTTATGGAGTTTAGTTTTCCTCTTAATTACTATCACACTTCAATCTAAATGAATTTAGATTTCATGTAACATTTTGACTTTTTGGAAGGTCATGGTTTCTTCATTAGTAGGCAAAACTCCTACTTAGGAAAGCTATCAATTCCTCAATTCTCCTATTATTTTTATACATGTGGTTATAGTTTAATAGATTACTTCTTTTATATGCCCACTGCAGCATGTGAATTTTATGCTAACAAGAGTGTGCACTTAGGCACACATGCAATATAGCTATGATATGTCTATCATATAAATTAAATATGTGCCAAGTATTTCATGGAGCTAATACATTTTACTCAAAATGTCAGTAAATTCTAGAAAAACTGGATGGAAATTGCCAATTATAAAATGAGAGTTTTGATTGAAGTCCACATTAGCCAGGAACCCATACTTTGGTTACCTGATATTTTGGCATAAATGTGACCACATATTCATCTTACTATATTATTACCATATGAACATATATTTCCTTTGAAATGCTATCATGTTCTTCAAGTTATATGAATACTAATGATAAGAGATCTTACATGTTATAAAAGGAATACATTGTATGGAATTACAATTTATTTAGACATACTTTGGGAAAAGTTTGATTGCATTTCATATGCGTTCATAAATCAAATTGAACTGTTTCAGGATTTTCAGGAAGCAAAATGACAACCAAAAGTATAATTTAATCCTAAAGCATCTTTCCTCTTTTTTTCTTAATACTCACAGCTAAACTTAACTGAAAGTAAAGTTTTCATTCTAAGCTTTCCAGGTTCATTAAATTGTTCCTATATCCTCACAAAATCATGATTTTTGTTTAAAATTTAAGGACATTTTTGTTGTTGTTAACAAAATATTGCTTAAATACTTGTTATACATCATATATATTTATGAGTCCAAAAGTACCTAGTTATTATAACTTTGGAAGCCCAGAGTCCTGTTTAAAAAAAAAATTAGATGTCACAAAAGGCCTCTGAGCTCTTGATGAATGTGTTATAAGTTTTGTGTACATCTTAAGGGACCTCTTTCACAAGCAACCAGAAGTCCTTTTGTAATTACTTATGCTCAACATCTATTTCTAATTTGCAGAGCTATGATGAGGAACATCCCCAGTTCACACACCACTTGGCAACTCTGAACTCACTGATCAATGTGTCAGTAGACAGGTTTGTAATGAGTAGACATAAAACAACATATCACATATGCGTGCACACACACACACACACACACATACACACGCTCTTTAAAGTGCTTTGAAGTGTTTACTCTTTGGTCTGCTACTCATGGACCAAATATTATTAAAAAATATGTTGCTGCTACTCTTCCAAATATACTTAAAACTCTGACATGTAATGCAGGTTTTCCTATAATCTGTGAAATCCCTGCTGCCTTTCAAAAAAATCATTCTAATAAAAACAGAGATAAATTTACCCAGAAGAGTAAACTAGCATGAAATGCCCTGTTTTTGCTGTTGTCACAATTCATTGTTAAGTTATTTAGTGGTCCCTTATTAAATGCCCTTAGAATTCGTAGTGCAAAACGTTTTTACATAGAATGGGAGTCCTATATGACATATTTTAATTTTTACATGGAATGACATTCCTATATAACAAATTTTAATCCTGTTAATTTAACTAATTACATAAACCTAACCACCACAGTAAATTATAGTCTGACCTAAAAGAAAATATGGCATGAGCTGAGACAAAATGTATCCAGTTCTCAGAACATATCTATGTCTCCTCTAATTTGTAGGTCTTTTTTCCTTTGTATGACACTCCACTTAAATATCCTGCCGGACCTAGCTCAAATGCTATTTTTTCTGCAGCGTCTTCTCTGGCTCGGTCAGTCAGTAACTGATGTTTCTTCCATCATTTCTTCATATAAGATCAGGCTCATTACATTATAATTATTTAGGTATCCCTCTGTCTCCCTACAGAGCGTGAGCTCCTTGAAGGCAAGAACCTTTTTACATTTTCTTTACACTCTCAGACCTAAGTATAGTACTGGATGTTAAATTAATAAATACATGCAAGATACTATATCAACTAAATTAGATATTTCAAAATAGTTTTGTTGTTGTAACAAAAATTGGATGTTTTGTAGATGTTTATAATTCTGTTTTCATTTTAACTAATACATAGAGTTCCACTTTATTAAAACATATCCTTTGATTACCTTATAGCTAGACACAGAAGGAGGAAAATAGGAGGGTAAAGGATTTTAAAAGCATTTGGGGATTTTTAAAAAAGGCTTCCAGAGACTAATAAATCACTGAACAGTAGTAACAATGCTGTCATCACCAATCTCTATACACCGAGTTTCATGCAGCATTTAAGAAAGCCTATGAGTTAAACTGCGCTTAAAATAAGATATATATTTGCTTTTAACCATGTCAAATTGTGCATGAAAAGAAAGTCCTTGAAGGCACTATACCAAATGTTATAAAGCTCACCTCTGGCTGGAGAGATTATGGATTAATTTTTTAAAATATTTTTCCTATTTCCCTAATATTCTTCTAAGAGCATGTCTTACTTTGATTTACTTATATTTGTTTCAAATATTGGCTATTATTTTTTAAAGCATTACAGATACTTTTAAAATCTCTTTTATATCCTGTCACAAACCTATTTCCATGTTGCCTTCATGAGTTAATCACCATCCTGAAGTTGGTATGTATTATCCGTCTGTGCCTTTATACTTTTACTATTTATGTATATAGTCATTAGACATATTAATTATGTCACAGACATATTGTGTTTTAAATTTACATTAATATCATATGACAATTCTGACTCCTTTTTTTCATTTAACACTTTCAATATAGATCCACATGGATGTTTATAATCCTACTGTTTTATTTTAACTAATACATAGTGTTCCATTTTATTAAAATTTATCTTTTGATTATTTTATGAATAGACATTTTGTTTTTTCGTAATTTTTCATTCTTACAAACAATATTGCAGTGAATATCCGTGAGAGACTTAAAGTTTTCTTTTCAAGAGCCATACCTAGTAGTACAATTAATTGATAGATAGAAGAGTATGTGCATTTCAAACTTTTAAAAATATTGATGAATTGTCATCCAATGTGGAGTACCAATTTATAGTCCTATGAGAATTCCTGTTTTTCTATATCCTTTACAATACTTGATATTGTCAGAACTCTTGTTTTCTGTCTTTCTAGTAGATGGAAATACAACTGGCACCTCATTGGGGCCTTAATTTAAATGTCCCTGTTACCTGTGTTAACTATGTTTATTGGTTATTCAAAATTCATTTTCAGGGAATTGTCTTTGCCAATTGTTTCCATTCTTTGTTTGCTTTTTGTTGTTGTCTTTTCCTTACTTTGTAGTGCTTATACCTTCTCAGTATGTGCATTATAAACATCTTTCCCAGTTTGTGGCATTTTAAAAGTATTTTGTGACATGTCATGCTAAGCATGAGCTTTAATGTAATCAATCCTACCAATCTTCTTAATGATGTGTACTTTTTGTCTTGTGTAAGAAATCCTTCCCTAAACTAAGATGTCCATGTGGATTACTTTTTTTAATTTGTTAAATTGAGGAATTATATTGAAAGATTTTTGGTGGCTGAAATATCCTTAGAAGAGTGAGTTAAGTTCTACTTAGTATGATCTACGTTTTAATGCATTATTGAATTCAATGTGGTAATATTTTGCTTAGACTTAGTACATCTGTTTTCACGCAGAGATTAATCCATATATACTGTTCTTGTACTCTCCTTGTCCATTTTCGTATGTAAGTCATGAAAGTACAAAGTTGGGTAGTTTACTTCTTTGTACACTCTCTTCAACAGTTTGTATAGCATTGGTATTATCTGTTCATTAAGGTTTGATAAAACTATCTTATCAAACCATTTTGCAATTCTATTCTGTTAAAATTTACTGAGTTATGACTAGTAATTAGTACTTTTCCCAGAAAATTGTACATTTTATGTCTTAAAATATAAAGAAGAAATTAATAAAATCAAGTATATCAGTGGTTACATTAAATATAAGTAGAATTATCCCCAATAAAAACCAAACATGGGGCTAAAAAGTTAGACACATTTTTTTAAAAAAGTTCTATCCTGCTCATTAGAAATACACCTAAAATAAAATAAAGCTGGAAATAAATAGAAAAGAAGTGAAAAGCAAAGGCAAACAAAATAACAGAAATGAAAATATTAAAATATATAAGGTCATATTTTAGAATTAAAATTGTTAATAGAAATAAAGGGAATACTATATAATGACAAACATGAAGAAATTTATAAAGCAATTGTGGTATCATTCTAGGAGTAAAATCCTGGAAACTATTTTATCTGAAACAGAAACCAGACTCAAATGCCTTCCATTGCCATTTGTTCAACATTGTCTTGAAGGTTCTACTAAATATATCAAAGTGGGAAATTAAATAATTACTATAAATATTGGGGAAAAGAGTGAAAATATTTATTTTTGTTGATTACATGATTATATATCCAAAAGCCTCTATAAAACTCAAAAGCCGGCTGGGTGGGGTGGCTCATGCCTGTAATCCAAGCACACTGGTAGGCCGAGGTGGGCAGATAATTTTAGGTCAGGAGTTTGAGATCAGCCTGGCCAACATGGTGAAATGCCATCTGTACTAAAAATACAAAAAAAAAAAATTAGCTAGGCATGGTGGCACACACCTGTAATCCCAGCTACTTGGGAGGCTGAGGCAGGAGAATCACTTGAACCCAGGAAACAGAGGTTTGCAGTGAGCCGAGATCACACCACTGCACTCCAGCCTGGGTGACAGAGTCAGACTCTGTTTCAAAAAAAAAAGAAAAAAAAAAAACCTCAAAAGCTTAAGTTTTAAAGTAAAATATATTAAAATTAAAATAATTTTGTAAGGTAGCTGAATACAACTAATATATTAAAAATTCAATACTTATTGTGCATTCTAACAATAAACACCTATAAATGGAAATGGGAAAAAAAATTCTTTCAACAGAGTGATAAAAACTATCAAATAGAAACTACTAAGAAATTCATAGAAATTGTATCATTTAAAAAACTATATATTTTATTAAATGTCATGTAAAATCTGAATAAATCTAGGACAATATAAAATATTAAAAGGGCAATTCCCCAAAAGTAATATAAACATAAAATTAAATTCCATTTTTTTATAATTCCATTTTTTTGGATGTAGTTCTTTTGAAATTGGATGAAATTATCTTAAAACTCATATGGTAAAATAAATGACCAAAATAACAAAGAAAGTATGAAAAATAATAGTTAAAAAAAGAATGCCTGTCCAAATAGCAGAAAAGATTATACAGCTACTGTAATTACATTAATCAGTCATATAAAAAATGAAGAGCAATAAAAATATGTCCAAATATATAGAATTTTATAAATAACAAAGAGTGTATGTGAGTAGGAAAAGGAAAGCTTGTTTAATTAATAATCATAACACAAATGAAAGAAAGTAAATTTAAACCCCTATTGTAACACAGTATTAAAAAATCCAGATGGATTACAGAATTGATTTTAAACAATAAAACAATAATAATCTTAAAATAAATTATAGGAGTTCATTAGTATAGCCTGGGATAAGGGAGAATTCTTAATCAAGACAAGAAACCTAGAAGAAAGAAAGAAAAAGATTGATATATTTCATTACATAAAAATTGAAGGCCAGGTGCGGCAGTTCACGCCTGTAATCCCAGCACTTTGAGAGGCTGAGGCAAGCGGATTACTTGAGGTCAGGAGTTCAAGGCCACCCTGGCCAACATGGTGAAATCCCATCTCTACTAAAAATAGAAAAATTAGCTACACATGGTGGCACACGCTTGTAATCCCAGCTACTTGGGAGGCTAAGGCGGGAGAATTGCTTGAACCTGGGAGGTGCAGGTTGCAGTGAGCAGAGATTGCCACTGCACTCCAGCCTGGACAACAGAGAGAGACTCTGTCTCAAAAATAAAATAATAAAATAAAAATTGAAAAGATATCACAATTAATCATCAGAAAAATGACAAATTGAGAAAGAATAGTTGTACTACATATAACAGATTAAGGGTTAATAACTGTGATCTATAAAGTGATAAAATAGTATAAAATTGGGCAATTTATATGAATAGCAATTCAGAGAAAAGCAAATCTAAATTATCAACAACTATTTGAAAAGGAGCTTGAACTAATAGTAGCTGAGGAAGTACTAATTCAAATAAAAATGTGATATCTATTTTGCACTATCTTCACTGGAAGAATTAAAATGTAGAAGAATAAAGATTATATTAGCTATCTATTTCTGTGTAACAAATTACCCCAAAACTTAAAACCGCAAATGTTTATTATCTTGCAGTTTTCATGGCTGAGGGTCTAGGTATGGCTCTGCTGACTCAGGGTCTCGAAGGCTGCAATTAACGTGTCAATTGGGCCTATGGTCTCATCTGAGGCTTGACTGGGAGAAATTGACTTCAAAGACCACTCACATGGTTGTTGGCAGCATTCAGCTCCCACAGGACTGTTGGGTTGAGGGCCTCAGTTTCCCACTGGCTGTTAATCCAAGGCCTCCCTCAGTTCCTTGTCCCATGGGCCTCTCCACGGAACACAAAGTGCTCCATCAAAATGAGTGAACCAGACAGCAGGAGAGAGCTAATAAAACAGAAGCCAGAGGTCTTTGTAACCTGATCTCAGAAGTGACATGCATTATTCTTTCCATATTCTATTCATTAGAAGCAAATTACTCAGTCCAGTCTATACATAAAGGGAAGAGATTAAACAAAGGCATAAATACCAGGAAAGCGGATCACTGGCAGTTATCTTAGAGGCTTCATATGGCAGTTGTGGAGAAAAAGACTGCAGGCTAACATTGTTGGTGGCAATGGAAACTGATACAGCTGTTTTGGAAAGCAATGGCATTAAGATCAGTCCCTCCGCATCTCATTCAGAGGTCACTTTGGTTTGCTAGGTTATTTCCCGATTTTACAACTGCAAGCCCACATCCTGGAAATCCCTTCAGTCCTAGGCAAACCAGCTTGGTTTGTCAGCCTACTCTAGAGCCAGACTGTCTGGGTTTAAATCATGGCTCCATACTTAACTAGCAATGCCACCTTGAGTAAGTTACTTAATTTCTCTATGTCTCAGCTTCCTTATTTGTAAAATAAGCATGATAATATCATGTTTGTGGGAAACTGAGACAGTACCTGTAAAGTGCTTAAAGCAATGTCTGGCACATTAAAAATTCTCAATGATATCCATTGTTACTATCATAGATATTAAAATATATGTATCCTTTCACTAAGGTATACAAACATTTATCATCCAAACTGGGAAACTTTTGAGAGTGAAAAGGAGTGCTAGTAATAATTATGCCAGGTCATAAACAGGAATATTCCAGGGAGACTTGGATGTATGATTAACTTACATTTGACCCACAGGGAAATTTCTCTCATAGAAATAAAGGCACCTCAGTATAAGGGAAGTACACAGTGATGTTTGTTGCAGTTTTGTACTTAGTGGAAAATAAAAAAGTAATTCAAAATTAAGTGAATGCTCACCAGTAGACAAAGAATAAATCACAATACATAATGTTTTTAAATATTATGCAACACTTAAAACAATGAAATACAGTGACACCAACTGACTTGAAGAAGTTCTTTGAAATATCTTTGAGTAAGGAAAGTAATATGCACAAAAGTACAAATAGTTCCATTTGTAAAACAAAAGGTTTACACTCAGAGGCAAATATTGCAGCTTAAGCTTCAGGGTCCAGCTCTTTCATAGGCCCCTCCCAAGATGTTGAGAGGGGTCTAGAAATGTTTCCTCATGGTTACATGTTTTTGTAAATTATGCAAAAGTAAAATATTTTAATTGCAATAGGTTAATACCTCTGTTTCTTTCACCTTTAATTTCCCTATCATATTTCTCTGTATTTTGGGTAGTATTTGAATGGCTGCAGACATTTTTGGAATCCAGCTAAAGGAAAGATGAATCTTGGGCACATTTAGTTTGGGTTTAGTAATATATATTTATGAATTCTGAAGTCACTCCCATGTACATACAGTTCAGATGTAAGAATGGCTTCTAGGAATACCCCTACCACCTCCTGTGCCAACTCATCGGGTATGCAACAGAAAGTTTTAAAGCCATATTTTGATATGGGTGTGACCTATGATGTTCGGTACCAGAAATATTTGTGTAGTGAGTGAGAAAGATTTGAAATGTACAGAACTAGCCAGTGGAAAATTCTTCCAAATCTTCAAGCTTGGAAGTGAAAGAAGGATTTTATCAAAGTTGACAACAATCCCCAAAATCAGCGTGACAGTACCAATAACCGATTGTGAAGCTGAAATAAACTTTCTAACAAACAATGATAAAACATTAATTTTGATCAATCATGCTAGAGGAAAGACCGAATTACCCTTTTATTTTCTCTATCAGAGCATTCTTCAACAGAAATAGCGTGAGCCACATATGTAACTTTAAATTTTCTAATACCCATATTAAAACTTTTTAAATAGGTAAAATTTAATGTTTATTTGACCCAATTTACTTAAAATATTAGTATTTCAAAACAAAAATTACTAATAAAATATTTTACATTCTTTTTGTGTACTATGTCTTCATAATCAGATGTGCAATTTATACTTTTAGCACATGTCAATTCAGACAGTAAACTTTAATTGAAAATACACAATCTATATTTAGACTTTGTAGAATTACAGTTGAAAAAGTGGATTCATATAACCAAGTTTTTCTAAACATAAAGTTTTCAAATAACTGAATTGAACACCAAAAATCATTTTCCTTTAATATTTGGACCTATGTTGATAAAACTGGTTCATTACTTTTAAAAGAATTAAGTTGACTTTGAAATATAACCATTTCAACTTTAAAATTATGTCTGCCCAAGTTTAAGTAAATTCTCTGACTCAGCAATATTAATAGAAAAGTCAAAGGGGTATTGCATAAATTTTAAAACAGCTCTAAATTTATCAACATTAATAAAGCTTTCTTCAAATTTGTTTTGTTTTTGCAATACATTTCCATAATGCTATTGACCATCAATGGATGGATGGATACAGAAAATGTGGCATGTATATACAATGGAATACTGTTGAGCCTTAATAAAAGAAGAAAATTCTGCCATTTGTGACAGTATGGATGAACCTGGGGGACATTATGCTAAGTTAAACAAACCAGGCACAGTAAGACAAATACTGCATGACCTCACTTGTATGTGGAATCTAGAAAAGTCAAACTCATATAAGCAGGGAGTAGAATAATGGTTACCAGACGTTGGAGAGGTGGGTGGAAGGAGAAAGGCAGAATGTTAGTCGAAAGGAGAATGTTAGTCTAAGTTGCAGTTAGAGGAGAGGATTAAGCTTTAGGGATCTATTGCACAGTATGGTGACTATAGTTAATACATTGTATATTTCAAAATTGCTAAAAAATAGATTTTAAATTTTAAATGTTCTCACTACAAATAAATAGTAGGTATGTGAGGTGATGGATATGTTAATTAGTTTGATTTATCCATTCCATTATGTATACATATATCAAAACATTACACTGTATCCCATAAATATATACACCTATTATTTGTCAATTAAAGATCAATTTAAAAATGAAAAATTTAAAAAAATACATAGATGACTAGGACATAGAGTATACCCTATAAGAGAGAGACATAAATAACATGCATGTATTTTAAATATTCAAAAATTTTTTCATATTGATTCATATTAATGTGTAAAATAATTATATTGATTTGTTTTATGAAAAGCTCTGTTTCAACACAACTCTTTGTGTCCTTCTCACTAATAAGCTCTTCCTTTCCTTGGAGCTTCAAACTTAGCTTCTTCATGTGTAGTGTGATATCAAGAAAATGTAGGCACATTGCCATTTCTTTACTTACTAAGAAAAGATATTTTTAATATACTTCAAACTGTGCAATAAATCAATAAAGGAATTTTTTTGTTTTAAAAGTCAAAAAATCTGGATTTTTGATCTAATATAACAGGAATACCACATGTTGTGATAGATACTAATGTTTTCACATTTAGTAGAAATTATTTCTTTGATGTAAATTTTAAAAATCTATTTCATGAGTTTGATTATTTAGGCTATGAGTTGAAAATATTTTTTAATTTAGCAAATCTGAAGGTTGAGAGAAAGCATACTCAAAGTGTTAATTAGGCAGTGTCTCATGTCACATGACTTACCTATAGCTAATGAAAAATATCTGCAATTAAACATGTTCTTAATAAGTTACATATGACATTATTTAGGAAGGTTTTTGTATTCAATGAACAGTTGTTTGGTGGTTTAATTGAAGAGCTTTTGGTTGTTTTTGGCAAAATATCTTCATTAGTTTTTTCCTCAAATTTTCTAGCAAAATTTTCATTACTGAAATTACTTCTTTTACCAGATCTCACTTAAAATGTTCTTCCCTTTGTTTGGAACCTAATCCATTTTATAGCTGGCAAAAATTACAAGCTCAAATCCTTCCAAAAATTGTTTTTATATTTTGTGTTGGATATTTAATTTTGATTCAGGCAAATAATTTTCACTGATTTTTTTTTTTACTGTTAAGAGCAAATGTCTTTTTTTAAAAAAAAATTCAATAGCTTTTGAGGTATAAGTGGTTTTATGTTACACGCATGAATTATATAGTGGTGAATTCTGAGATTTTTGTGCACCCATCACCCATGTAGTCTACATTGTACCTAATGTGTAGTTTGTTTTTTTATCCCTAGCTACCCTCTCACCCTCCTGCTTCTGAGTCCATTATATCACTCTATGATGCCTTTGCTGACACATGGCTTACCTCCCATTTATAACTGAGAACATATGGTTTTTGGTTTCACACTCCTGTGTTACCTCACTTAGAATAATGGCCTCTAGCTTCATGCAAATTGATGCAAAATACATTATTTTGTTCCTTTTAATGGCTGAGTAGTATTCCATGGCATATATATACTACATTTTATATACTACATTTTCTTTATCCACTCATTAGTTGATGTGCACTTAGCTTGCTTCCACATCTTTGCAATTGTGAATTGTGCTGCTATAAACATATGTGTGCCAGTATCTTTTTCATATAATGACTTCTTTTCCTTTGGGTAGACCTAGTAGTAGGATTGCTGTATCCATTGGTAGATCTACATTTAGCTCTTTAAGGAACCTCCATACTGTTTTCCACAAAGGTTGTACTAATTTACATTCTCACCAGCAGTGAATAGGTGTTCCCCTTTCCCCACATCCACACCAACATTTGTTGTTTGACTTTTTAGTAATGGCCATTCTTGCAGGAGTAAGGTGGTTTGAATTTGCATTTCCCTGATTAGTGATGCTGAACATTTTTTTCATATGTTTATTAGCTATTTGTATATCTCCTTTTGAGAAATGTCTATTCATATTCCTTGTCAAGTTTTTGAAGGAATTATTTGCGGGTTTTTTGTTTTTTGTTTTTTCTGATTTGAGTTCCTTGTAGATTCTGGATACTAGTCCTTTGTCGGATGCACAGTTTGCAAATATTTTCTCCCATTCTGTGGGTTGACTGTTTACTCTGATAATTATTTATTTTGCTATGCTAAAGTGTTTTAGTTTAATTAGGTCCCATTTACTTTTGTTTTTGTTGCATTTGCTTTTGGGGTCTTAGTCATGAATTCTCTGCCTTGGCTGATGTCTACATAAGATTTTTCAACATCGTCTTCCAGAATTTTTACAGTTTCATGTCATATATTTAAGTCTTTGATCCATCTTGAGTTGATTTTTATATGTGGTGAGAGATAGGGAACCAGTTTCATTCTTCTACATGTGGCTTGCCAGTTTTCCCAGCACCATTTATTAAATAGGGTGTCCATTCCCAAATTTATGTATTTGTCTGCTTTGTCAAAATCACTTGGCTGTATGTATTTGGCTTTATTTCTGGGTTCTCTATTCTGTTCCATTTGTCTATGTGCCTACTTTTATACCAGTATCATGCTGTTTTGGTAATTATAGCATTGCAGTATAATTTGAAGTCTGGTAATGTGATGCCTCCAGATTTGTTCTTTTTGCTTAGGGTCACTTTGGCTATTTGGGCTCCTTTTGTGGTTCCATATGAATTTTAGAATGGTTTTTTATAATTCTGTGAAAAATAATGTTGGTATTTTGATGGGAATTGCATTGAATCTATGAATTGCTTTGGGCAGTATGGTCATTTTTCCATGAGCATGGGGTGAGTTTTCATTTGTTTGTGTCATCTATGATTACTTTCAGCAGTGTTTTGTAGTTTTCCTTGTAGAGATCTTTCACCTTCTTGGTTAAGTATGTTCCTAGGTATTTTTATTTTTTTGCAGCTGTTGTAAAAGGGATTGAGTTATTGATTTGATTCTCAGTGTGATCATTGTTGGTGTATAGCAGTGCTATGGATTTGTGTACACTGATTTTGTAACCTGAGAATTTACTGAATTTGTTTATCAAATCCAGGAGTCTTTTGGAGAGTTTTTAGAATATTCTAAATATAAAATATCATCTGCAAACAGCAATAGTTTGACTTCTATTTGAATGCCTTTTATTTCTTTATCTTGCTTAATTGCTCTGGCTAGGACTTCCAGGAATATGCTGAAAAGGTATGGTGGAAGTAGGCAAGCTTGTTTTGTTCCTGTTCTCGGTGGGGGGAATGCTTTCAACTTTTTCCCATTCCATATGATGTTGGCTGTGGGTAGGTCATATATAGCTTTTATTATTTTGAGATAGGTCCCTTCTATGCCTCATTTGTTGAGAGTTTTTATCACAAAAGTATGCTGGATTTTGTCAAATGCTTTTTCTGCATCTATTGAGATGATCATATCATTTTTGTTTTTAATTCTGTTAATGTAATGTATCACACTTATTGACTTGCATATGTTAAACCATCCCTGCATCCCTGGGAGGAAACCCACTTGATCATGATGAATTATCTTTTTGATGTGCTGGATTTGGTTAGCTAGTATTTTGTTCAGGATTTTTGCATCTACGTTCATCAGGGTAATTAGTCTATAGTTTTCTTTTTTTTGTTGTGTCCTTCCTGGTTTGGGCATCAGGCTGATACTGGCTTCATAGAATGATTTAGGAAGGATTCCCTCTTTCTTAACCTTTTGGAAGTTTCAGTAGGATTGGTACCAATTCTCTTTTTAATGAATGTCTGGTAGAATTCAGCTGTGAATCCATCTGGTCCTGGGCTTTTTTGTTGTTGGCAATTTTAAAATTATGGATTCAATCCACTGCTTGTTTTTGGTGTCTTTATGGTTTCTATTTCTTCTTGATTTAATCTATGAGTGGTGTATGTTTCCAGGAATTGACCCATTTCCTCTAGGTTTTCTAGTTCATGTGTGTATAGGTGTTCACAGTAGCATCCAATGATCTTTTGTATTTTTGTGGTATTGGTTGTAATGTATCCAGTTTCATTTCTAATTGAGCTTATTTGAATCTTCTCTCTTCCTCACCTGGTTAATCTAGCTAATGATCTATCTATTTTGTTTATTTTTCAAAGAATCAGCTTTTTATTTCATTAATCTCTTATATTTATTTGTTTGAATTTCATTTACTTTTGCTTTGATCTTTGTTATCTTTTTTCTTCTGCTAGCTTTGGGTTTAGTTTGTTCTTGTTTCTCTAGTCCCTTGAGATACAACATAAGGTTGTTAAAATTTGTGCCCTTCCAGTTTTTGATGTGGGCATTGAGCACTATAAACTTTCCTTTAGCACTGCTGTTGCTGTATCCCAGAGAATTTGATAACTTATTTCATTATTATCATTCAATTCAAATAATTTTTAAAGTTCCATCTTAATTTCATTGTTAGCTCAGATATCATTGAGGAGCAGGTTATTTAATTTCCATGCGTTTTTATAGTTTTGAGGGTTCCTTTTTGAGTTGATTTCTGGTTTTATTTTGCTGTGGTTTGAGAAGACACTTATGATTTCGATTTTTAAAAATTTATTGAGGCTTCTTTTCTGGCCTGTCATATGGTCTATCTTGAAGAATGTTACGTGCTGATGAGAAGAATGTATATTCTATTGTTCTAGGGTAAAATGTTCTGTAAATATCTGCTAAGTACATTTGTTGTATTATGCCATTTAAGTCCACCGTTTCTTTGTTGATTTTACGTCTCAAAGATCTGTCTAGTGGTGTCAGTGGTAAATTAAAATCTTCCACTATTGTTATGTTGCTATCTCATTTTTTAGGTCTAGTAGTAATGTTTCATAAATCTGGGAGCTCCAGTGTTAGGTGTATATATATTTAGGATGGTAATATCTTTTTGCTGGGTTGACCCTTTTATCATTATATAGTGACCGTCTTTGTGTGTGTGTGTGTGTTTTTTTTTTTTTTTTTTTACCATTGGTGCTTTGAAGTCAGTTTTGTTTGATATAAGACTAGCTACTCCTGCTTGCTTTTGTTTCCGTTTGTGTGGAATATCTTTTTCCACCCTTTTGCCCTCAGTTTATATGAATCCTTCCACAAGGATTCATATAATGAATCTCCTGAAGACAGCCAATATTTGGATTGTGATATTTTAAAATCCATTCTGCCATTCTGTACCTTTTAAGTGGAGCATTTAGGCCATTTACATTCAACGTTAATATTGAGATGTGAGATTCTGTTCTCTTCATCATAGTAATTTTTACTTAGTTTTTTTCATTATGTCATTGTTTTATAGGCCTTGTGAGTTTTAAGCTTTCCAAAGGTTCGATTTTGATACATATTGGGCTTTTCTTCAACGTTTAGAACACCTTTTAGCACTTCTTGTAGTGCTGGTTTGGTAATGACAAATTCCCTCAAGATCTGTCTGAAAATCACTTTATTTCTTCTTCATTTGTGAAACTTAGTTTTGTGGGATATAAAATTCTTGGCTGACAGTTGTTCTGTTTAAGAAGGTTGAAGATAGGACCCCACACCTCTCTGGCTTGTCAGGTTTCTGCTGTTAGTCTGATAGGTTTTCCTTTGTACGTTACCTGATGTTTTTGTCTTACTGCTCTTGGAATTCTTTGCTTCATGTTTACTTTAGATAACCTGATGACTATATGCCTTGGTAAATATCTTTTTGCAATAAATTTACCAAGAGTTATTTGAGCTTCTTGAATTTGATATCTAGATCTCTAGCTAGACCAGGGAAGTTTTCCTCAATTATTCCCTCAAATAAGTTTTCCTCAATTATTCCCTCAAATAAGTTTTCCAGACTTAATATTTTCTCTTCTCTCTCAGAAATGCCAATTATTCTTAGGTTTGGTCATTTTCCATAATCCCATATTTCTTGAAGACTGTATTCATTTCTTTTGATTCTTTTTTCTTTATTTTGTCTGACTGGGTTAATTCAAAGGCCCTGTCTTTGAGCTCTGGAATTCTTTCTTCTATTTGTTCTAGTCTATTGTTAAAACTTTCCACTGCATTTTGTAACGCCCTAAGTGTATCTTTCATTTCCAGAAGTTCGGATTGCTTTTTCTGGATGATATCTATCTCTCTAGAAAATGTTTCAGTCATATCCTGAACTGCTTTAATTTCTCTATGAGGGTTTTCATCATTCTCTAATATCTCCCTGAGTAGCTTAATAATCAACCTTCTGAATTACTTATGTGGCATTTCAAAGATTTCATCTTGGTTTGGATCCATTGCTGGAGAGCTAGTGTGATCTTTCAGAGATGTTATAGAATCCTGTTTTGTCATATTACCAGAGTTACCTTTCTGATTCCTTCTCATTTGGGTAGACTATTCCTTCTAATTATTCTTAAATTTATGTTTGATTTGACTGTGTTTTTTTTTAATATTCCTTTTTTCCCCTAAAAGATGTGACTTTAATGCTTATAGTTAATTATTGCCTAACTTAGTTCTTGGTACTTTCAGGGGTGAAGACTCTGTAAGATTTCCTTGGTTATAGTCTTTGCATGATGGCTTTCTCATATGCTGGTTATATTAAGAACGTTCTCAGTGTGTGAGCAAGTTCACTGTTTACTATGGGGTTGGAATGGCAGAGGTCTCTTGATGCTTATCTCATTCTTCCATGGCATGTGCTTATTTATTTATTTATTTATTTATTTATTTATTTATTTATTTTTCCCCAGTATTTTATTTGCTGGTTTGATGGTTCAGGCTTCAGGCCAATAGGGGAGGTGTCCCTTGACAGGAACCAGCTGTGGCTAAAGCAAGTAGGTAAATGCAATACCCAATGGTGGGTAGAGGTCCCAGCCTTGACAGAGGTGGCTGGAGGAGCTCACAGTGATTTGCACTAAGGTCTTATCAAGGGGAAGAGTTGCAGTTACCTCAGCTCCCCTGTCAGGTCAGCAGGAAAGTTATCCACCTCTCAGACACACTCCTGTCCTAGTGCTCTGGCTATGCAGATCGGATAGGCACCTCTTTTCATCTGTAGGAATGTTGATACTCCATGTAGAAAGCAAGTGACTCTGTGTCTTATGCAACCCTGACCCTGTAGGGTGCTCCTCCTGTGGGGATGCAGTAACCCTGACATGTTTCAGAAAGGCTGTCTATTGTTGTACCCATGCTGAGTTCCCATGGGAGAAGCCCCAACTGTGCCTGCCATGGTGGACAAGGGGGGAATGACATCTCCTTCTCCAAGGCCTATCAAATGCACCAGGGCTGATTGTTGGGTTAGAGCTGAAGAATTTCCCTGCTGAACCCAGCACTGGAACTGTGCTTCTGCTGAAGGAAACTTCATATCAGCAGAAAGATCTGGTGCTCAAGGCCTGCCATCCAGGTCCTTCTGAACCACAGGGTATTCCCTTGATTTGGTACACTCCCCCTTCTCCTAGGAGGTGGGAATCCTGGAAGCTAGACTATTATGAATGTTGTTGAAGAGTGAATTTCTTATCAAATTTACTATGTATTTGTGAAATATACCTCTTACTATTTCCCACTTAATTATCTTTAAAGTTTTGTTAGACAACAAACAGCTGTTTCAGTTTCCTCTGCATTGGCAAATTACAATTACCATCATCATGACATAGACATGCTTTTCTATGTTTGTATATTAAAGGATATATACTGAGCTTTGAGCATTGCTTAAAATGAAGGTGAGCTGAAGAGTGGGAACAATTGGGTCAGGCAAAATGTGAGACTTGATTAGCATTGCCTATATAAAGTTAGGCATTGTTTACAGGTTTTAATTCAGTGCTACAAGCATGTATGTCTTTAGTAATTTATAAGACATTCAATATGGGGGGGGGACATTTTTCAAATATAATGTGATTTATATTTTTTATTGTTGATTCATATTTCATTATATTATGATTTCAGATTGTGACTTATTTCTCTGATGTGTTGAAATTGCCACAATGACCTAATAAGTGGTCAATTTTTCTCAGGGTTTTATGTGTGCTTGAAAAGAATATATATATTCTGTATTGATGGGCACAAAGTCCTAGATATGTCTATTAAATCAAGCTTATTAATTCTATTATTCAATAGTTCTAATATTATATTTCTTCATTTGTCAATATTCTGAATGAAACATGACATATTAAAATCTTGCAAATATTGTAGATTTCTGTTTCTCAAAATCCTATCAGTTTTGGCTTTTAATGTTTCAAGGCTGTGTTGTGTATTGTTGTATGTAAAAAAAATTACGGCTATGATATCTTCTTGGTATTGTGCTTTCTGTGGTTTGATTCTTTTAATATTATAAAGTATTCCTCTTTATCCTTTTTAATGTTTTTAGCCTTCAATTAAATTTTGACTAATGATAGTCCTGCAATGCCTTTCTTTATGTTGGTTTTGCTTGATCTTTCCTATTTTAACCCAATTCTTTCAAACTTTCTGTGTCACTTTGATTTAGGTTTTACTCTTATAAAAAAGCATATAGCAAGAATTTTAAAAATTGCATGCAATATAATCTCTTTGTCTTTCATTAGTTATCTTCTCCTTCGCATTTTTGGTTTGCCATGTTTCTTCTTTGCTTCACTCTTTTTTCCAAGAACTAGGGACATTTTAATTAATAAATTGTTGCTTTATTCTTTTAGTCTTCATTATTGGTTTCGAAGATATATTTTCCTAATTTTTAGTGGTTTCTCTTAAAATTTTTACCAGAAATGTTTTTTAACAAAAATAAAAATTATTAAGTACCTTTGTTTCTCTAGTTCTTTAGCAAACCTCTATCTTGCTTGTTTTTATTGTCTGGAAATTTAATATGCCCAGCTGCTCATTCTCAGCAGAGGGGCAGACTTTCTGGCCCTAGCTCCAGTGAAGCTCTTTTAGACTCCATTACCATTAAGAATGCAATCTCCCCACTGCTCTGCCCACTGCTGGACCAAGTCACGAGCTGGGCTGCTATTCAAGTCCCACTTTCTATTTTGTGCTTCTGATCCAGTTGAGCATCAAGATATTTTCTTTGCTTTTCAGCACAAGTAACGTTTATAATTTTCTGTTTTTCTATTTTTTCTTTCATTATTGTTTGGAACACTGGGCAGGAGAAAATAGGGGAAGGATTGCTTTAACAAAAACTTGACAGATCTTGCCATGATGACAGAGCCATTATACTTCTATAATAAGAAAAATGTTTAAATTAATTAAAAAATGAATACAGTACAAACGCAATCCCAGAACTTTGGGAGGCGAGGTGGGCAAATCATAACATCAGGAGTTTGAGACCAGTCTGACCAACATGGTGAAACCCCAACTCTACTAAAAATACAAAAATTAGCTAGGCATGGTGGCACGCACCTATAATCCCAGCTACTCAGGAGGCTGAGGCAGGAGAATCACTTGAACCCGGGAGGCGGAGGTGGCAGTGAGCGGAGATGACGCCATTGCACTCCAGCCTGGGTGATAGAGCAAGACTCCATCTCAGAAAAAAAAAAAAAAAAAAGTACCCACAAATGTATATACACCAAATGTTCACATTGATATAAAAACTATGCACAGCAAAGAAAGAAAATACATCAGAATATTAAATTAGTTGCTGCAATAAGTATGATACGGGGAAAGTACTTTTATTCTTTTTACTTTCTATATATTGAACAAAATTTAGTAAAACTTTATTCTATTTTATAATGAGAATACATATTTTTGAGCTACTAGAAGAGAAAAGAAGCATTATATTAGTAGCTATGCTAAAAATTTTAAAGTAATACAATCCAACAGCAATTAAAAGGTAGGCATTTTAAGTCAGCTCATACCTTCAGAAAGGTATGCCACCGTATCTCAAGATTTACACAAATCACTTTTACACACGTGGTTATAGTAACCAAAGTATGCTTCAGTTGAAATGATAATCCAGCATCCTCATAGATGCCTGTGACTAAAGGTCAGTTAGTTTCAAAAGGAATGGAGTGCTTAGCTGATTCAATGCTCTCGACTTGTTTACGGCATAGCTTTTAGCATTCCATTATTCTCTTTTTATTGCCTTTATGCACAGGTGAAAAACACAGAAAACACTAGATGATTATTTGGTAATAAATTGAATGGTTCTATGGAAATGAAAAGCATAGAAAACCTATGTGATTAAATGGCAACTGCAGTTTTTCTCTGGATTCTGCATATAAATAGAATAGGTTCTCCCACAGAGAATGAGCCTGGCTAAATCTGATAGTTAAATATACAGCTCTGGATGTAATAATAGTCTTTGAACCTTCTTGAATCCCAGTATCTAGAGTGCTTTAAGCTATTATTTTGCCAAGTACTGTAGATAAAGCCTCTCTGTTACCCTATGTTTAATATGTCTTTGTTGTCTTTGTGTCTTACACACCTAGTTGACCTGGAAAATAGTATGTCCTCAACAAACGTTTGTGGAACAAATGAATTGGTGGATAGATGGATTAATGAATGAATGATTTTATGAAAAGAGATGGTTCTGAACAGTAAAAGGAAACACTGAATTATTTGAATAATGCACTGAGAACTACAGTGATTTCTCAATGCCAGATTTGCTTCTGAATTCTTATCTCCTTCAACAAACTATTCCCCTATTCTGTTTTAGTTTCCACAACTGCAATATGACATCTGATGATAAATGTGATGAAATCACAGATCTGGATATATTTTGTACATTATTTATTGACTGAGATTAAATAACAAAATTATTTTTAATTCTCTATTTTTCTAAATTATTCAAACCTCATCTGTTAATACCCAAAAATAACACCTAAGAATAACCTAGTTTTCTCTTTTCCCTTTTTGTATAAATTGCCTCTGAAAGGCCAATTGAAGAACTATTATGAGCTTCTTGAATTTGTGTGTTCTAATATAAACATAAAATGTAATCTATTAGATAAAATCTAGAATACAATATAATCAAGGTAAAATTGTTACTTTTTAAACATACAGTGTGACTGTATTGTATGTCAGTTAGTTGTGTTAATGTTACTTAGAGTCTAGGACTATGTAAAGACAGAACTAGTAGTCTTCATATAATACTAAATGAAAAGAAAATGAATTAGTAAGTCTGCAGTAGATATATCTGACAAGTCTAGAAAATGCAGGTAAGGTGAATAGTTAAATATGAGACTACAAGCATTACGTAAGATTGTAAGATTTCTACAAGATTATATTTTCAGTATAAAACTATTTCCCAATTAATGTTGTATGCAGCAGCTGCTAAATAGAGCAAAGTTACTGAGTGATTCCATGAAGTAAGAGCTTAAGGCTGGGCGTAGTGGCTCACGCCTGTAAACCCAGCACTTTGGGAGGCCGAGGCAGGCGGATCATGAGATCAGGAGATGGAGACCATAGTGAAACCCCATCTCTATTAAAAATACAAAAAATTAGCTGGGCGCAGTGGTGGGTGCCTGTAGTCCCAGCTACTGGGGAGGCTGAAGCAGGAGAATGGCGTGAACCTGGGAGGCGGAGCTTGCAGTGAGCTGACATAACGCCACTGCACTCCAGCCTGGGCGACAGAGCAAGGCTCCATCTCAGAAAAAAAAAAAAGCTTAATTGTTAGTATGTGCTGAAATTACACAATTGTGAGTTCCAAGAGCTATAATGATATTGCCTCTTTTTTAATTTTTATTTTAGTTTCAAGGCTACATTTTCAGATTTGTTATATAGGTAAACTCGTGTCACAAGGGTTTGTTGTACAGATTTTTTAATCACTCAAGTACTAAACCTAGTATCCAATACTTATTTATTCTGATCCTCACCCTCTTCCCACCCTCCACCCACAAGTAGGCCCCAGGGTCTGTTGTTCCCTTCCTGGTGTCCATCATTTAGCACCCAATTTTAAGTGAGAACTTCTCACTTAAATGATGATGAGCACTTCTCATCATTTAGCACCCAATTTTAAGTGAGAACATGCAGTATTTGGTTTTCTGTTCCTGTGTTAGTTTGCTAAGGATTACAGCCTCTAGCTCCAAGGCTCAAAAAATAAACTCAAAATCATGCAATTACATGGAAATTAAACAACCTGCTCCTGAACGACTTTTGGGTAACTAATAAAATTAAGGCAGAAATCAAGATGTTCTTTGAAACTAATGAGAGCAAAGATACAACATACCAGAATCTCTGGAACACAGCTAAGGCAGTGTTAAGAGGGAAATTTATAGCATTAAATGCCCACATCAAAAATTTAGAAAGATCTCAAATTAACAACCTAACATCACAACTAAAAGAACTAGAGAACCAAGGGCACCCCCAAAGCTAGCAGAAGACAAGAAATAACTGAAATCAGAGCTGAAATGAAGGATATCAAGACATGAAAAACCGTTCAAAAGAGCAACAAATCCAGGAGCTGATTTGTTAAAAAAATTAATAAGATAGGCCACTAGTTAAACTAATAAAGAAGAAAAGAGAGAAGGTCTAAATAAACACAATCAGACATGACAAAGAGGATGTTACCACTGACCCCACAGAAATGCAAATAACCATGAGAGGCAACTATGAACATCTCTATGCACATAAACGAGAAAACCTAGAAGAGATGGATGAATTTCTGGACACATACACTCTTCCAAGACTAACCCAGGAAGGAACTGATTCCCTAAACAGCCCAATAACAAGCTCCAAAATTGAATTAGGAATAAATAGCCTAACAACCAAAAAAAGCCTATGACTAGACTGATTCACAGCCAATTTCTACCCAATATACAAAGAAGAGCTGGTACCATTTCTACTGAAACTATTTCAAAAAATTGATAAGGGACTCCTTGCGACCTCATCCTATGAGGCCAGCATCATCCTGATACTAAAACCTGCCAGAAGCACAATAAAAACAAGAAACTTCAGGCCAATATACTTGATTAACATTGATGCAAAAATCCTCAACAAAATACTTGCAAACTTAATCCAGTAACAGACCAAAAAGCTAATCCACCACAATCAATTAAGCTTCATCCCTGGGATGCAAGGTAGGTTCAACATACACAAATCAATAAATGTGATTCATCACATAAACAGAACTAAAGACAAAAAACACATGATTATCTCAATAGATGCAGAAAAGGCTTTCAATAAAATTCAACATAAAACCTCTCAATAAACTAGGTATTGAAGGCACAGACCTCAAAATAATAAGAGCCATATATGACAAACCCACAGCCAACATCATACTGAATGAGCAAAAGCTGGAAGCATTCCCCTTGAAAACTGGCACAAGATAGGATGCCTTCTCTCACCACTCCTATTTCACGTAGTATTGGAAGTCCTGGCCAGATCAATCAAGCGAGAGACAGAAATAAAGGGCATCCAAACAGAAATAGAGGAAGTCACACTATCCCTGTTTGCAGACAATATTGCCTCTTTCAGGAGCATTGAAAATAACTCTTGTCAGGGTTTCAACTGCACACTAGCCAGGATAATCTAAATTTAAATATTACAATGTATAAGCAAAAATAGTAGTTAAAAATCTGTATCTTTAGCAGATGCAAGGTTATTGCAGAAGTTTAAGGAGGGTGATGCAATCAGATTTGTGGTTTTAAGATTACTTTGACTGCAATGTGAATAATAAATTCACATTTCTACAAAGAAGATACAATCTACAGAATCTCTGGGACACACCTAGGGAAGTGTTACAAGGGAAACAGGACTTTAGGAAACTATTATAATAGTCCAAGGAAGTGTTACAAGGGAAACAGGACTTTAGGAGACTATTATAATAGTCCAGGACAGTTATTGGTGGTGACGGAGATTAAGAGAGGCAGATGGATTTGAGAGATATTTAGGGATAGAAATGTACATAATTACCCTCATCCTACTGTTTATTCCAGCTAAAAGTCACAAGACCTGGCGCTTATTTGAATATGAGGAATTGATAGGGAGGTTGCAATAATGACCTTCAGGCTGGATGAATAATTAAATCATTTACTGAGATGAGAAATTCAGCATGAAGAAAAGGTTTGGGGGGAAAGATGTGGGAGTTTAGTTCTAGATATGCTAAGGTTGAGGTGCCCTTGGAGATATATAAGTAAATAAGTAGATGATATTAAGTAGATATACAAGTAAAGATATTAGATGGATTAATAGATGGGCCTGGAGTTAAGAGAAGTGGTCTAGCCTGGAGATAAGTATGTCGGAGTCTTCAGCATGTTGATTGTAACAGAAGCCGTACTATAGATGAGATAATTTATAGAGAGAAAAAAGTAAAAAGAATAAAGAGGACTGTTTACGAGCCTTGAGGAACTCTCAACTTTTAGAGTCATGCAGAAAAATGTCAGCCATCACAATAGAGAAGGAGCACCATAATAAGATGAAAATCTACCTTAGACGACAAAGGGAAGAAAGGGTCTCCAGATGGAGGTGTCGCCAACCTGTGCTTCTGAGAGGTTAAGAAAAAGTGAGGATCGAGAAATGCCCTTTTTGATTTTGTGACATCAAGGTCATTAGTAACTTTAGAAAGCACATTTCCACAGAGTAATGGGGAATAGACACCTGACTAAAGTGGGCTGAGAAGTGAAAACAAAGAAGGAAAATGAACATATTGAGAGCACGGGAATAAAGAGAGAACACTAGCTGAGTCGTCAGGTGGGATCAAGGAAGTTTTCATTTATTGTTTAGTTGTTTTTGCTGTTAGTTGTTCTTGTGGTTTGCTACTGCTTTTCAAACGATAAAGACCCGAGCAGATTTAATTGTTGATGTGCACAATGCAGTAAAAAAGGACAATTCACTTTGGGAGGCCGAGGTGGGCGGGTTACGAGGTCAGGAGATTGAGACCATCCTGGCTAACACGGAGAAACCCCATCTCTACTAAAAATACAAAAAATTAGCCGGGCGTGGTGGCGGGCGCCTGTAGTCCCAGCTACTCGGGAGGCTGAGGCAGGAGGATGGGGTGAACCTGGGAGGCGGAGCTTGTAGTGAGCCGAGATCGTGCCCCTGCACTCCAGCCTAGGTGACAGAGGGACACTCTGTCTCAAAAAAAAAAAAAAAAAAAAAAAGGACAATTAAAATTATAGAGGAGAGAAAGACTGAATGCAGGGGTCAAATTCCTGAGGAGGAAAAGACCTGGCGCATAGAAGATGGAGCCAACCTTGGGCAGGAGGAGGAAAACCCCCTGTATCTTAACAGGAGCAGGGAGCAAGAGGAAGGTTACAGGGCAGTTGCATTTAATCACCTAATGAAGGAAGTTAACAAAGTTCCATCTGGTAAATTCTATTTTCTTTATGAATTAAAATATGAGACCATCTGCTGAGAGTGAGAGACAAGGGAGGAAAAGTATCTCAGGATTGAGGAAAGCAATACAGAACAAGAGTGGAATGTGAAGCAGTGTGGTAAGTCCACTCTACTTTCATGAGCATGAACTTATGAATTAATGAATGTTTACCTTGTTATTATACATACACTGACATTATAGGAGAAATTCTGTTGCATAGGATAGCATACACGACATCATAAAGAGCCTATATTCCCACATCATCAAATCATCAACCTAGCAGGAGTTCATTGTATTTTTAGAAATCTTACTAGTCTACAATTCATGTTATTCACACACAGTGGAAACAAAATTGATTTCAGGGGAGAAAAAGTGTGTGTGTGTGTGTGTGTGTGTGTGTGTGTGTGTGTAGTTTATAATATTGTTTTCCAACTACAACACATTTCCACTAAGTTGAACAAATTGAGATGATTATATTTTTTAATTGGTAAACTGTCCATATGGATGAAGGAGGCAGGTAATTCCCTTCAGGTACTGCTTTCCTTGATTTCTCTCTTTGCCCATCCATGAACTAGCACTGGTTTACAAATTTATCATGTAGATATCTGCTTTAATAAATGGCTAAGACAGCACTGAGCACAGAGCAAATGCCAAGTAAATAATTACTGTTTGATAAAAGTGCTTCTTATCAGCAAGGCCAGTATTTGTGTGTAAAATAATGCTTCCATGGGGCTCAAAAATAGTTTGCTCTCTTAAATGAGTTAAATATACCCACAGAAATCATGTTGACACTACCCACTTGCTCAGCAGAGATAAACATTTGTTCTAGTCCAGTCTGAATTCATTTAATTTCAAAATTTTGGCAATAGAATTAAGGAAGTTTCACCATTCAAAAAATATTTAGGTATAAACAAGTTACAGAATCACCCTCACACTCCTACCTATTTCAGATGTTGCAGAAGGTATAGTAGAGTGTGGATTATTCACCAGATGGCATTTTCATTTCAGGTTGACCACAGTCCAGTAAGCACATTAGCAAATTGAACAGAGGTAACTAAGACCCACACTATCTTGGCATGCAGCTGCTGAATGTGTCCTTTTTTTATCAGAGATCATCTATTCTCTTTCAACATGATTGGAAGCAGTCTTTGCTGGTGGTTTTGTAAATTGCTCATTAATCAAAATGGATTTATCGGGCATCCATAGTATACAAAGCCTGTACTAAGTGATTCAAAATAACGGTTGCCTAGTTACCTTAAAATGGAAAAATTCCCCTAGGAAGGTTAAAATCAAAGGAAAAGGAGACAAGAAAACATTATATTTGATGACACCTGGCTATTTCATAAGGGATTTTACTGCCATTACAGCCATTTTCTTTTAAACATAATATCCATCCATTCATTCGTTCATTCAATTATTCATTCATTTATGCAAGTGAGTCACCACTATAATTAAACAAGGTCTTTAGCTTGATGCTATAAAGGAAACAAACAGGATTCAATAGTGGTCGCATAAACATGAGTCTTAGCAAATTCACCAAGCAAGTGCTAGACTACTGTTGGTCTTTATTTAATAAGTCCAGTACTAGAACAATCTTATTCTTTACTTCATGTGAAATCTGTAGTCATGAGGCATTAGTAAAATGCTCCTTGGAAAGAGTATCCTTCATTTTCTGGTTGAATTGTAAAATCTTGCTGAATACAGATCTACTAATAAGTTGCTTTTATTTAAATTAAACTAGTACATCTGATAATTTTTTTTTTCCTGTGGTCAGGATTAGATTTATTTTGTACTAGCCCTTCTAGTTTTTAATACAAGAGACCACAGAAAGGAAAGTTAACTTTGATTTTCTGAGCAAATGCATACTTATACCATGAATACACAATGTTGCCAGTCACAACCAACCCTCAGCTGCTCAGCCCCTGAGAAATGAAAGCCAGGCAGGTTGTGTGCTGTACTGTGGCCCAAGCATCCTCAATTGCCTCTCCCTATTATGTATTGAATTTGTGTGCTCAGTTTTAATCCCTATATTTGTTACCTAGGGGTGCTTCAACAAACTACAGCCATCCCTCAGTGTCCAAGGGGAATTGGTTCCCAGACTCCCTGTTGAGGAGGATTGGGTATTTGAGGATACCCAAATCTACGGATGCTTAAGTCTCTTCTATAAAATGGTGTAGTGTTTACATATAACCTATTCACATCCTCCTGGATACTTTAGATCATCTTTAGATTACTTGTAATACCTACTGCTACATAAATAGTTGTTATACAGTATTTTCTTTAGACAATGATGACAAGAAAACAAGTCTGTACATGTTCAGCACAGACCCACCCATCCATTTTTGCTTCTGACATATTTTTAATTTGTAGTTGGTTGAATCCATGGATGTGGAACTCACAGATACAGAGGGCCAACTATACTAGTAACTGGGTGGCTTAAACAATAGAAATGTATTGTGTCACAGCTTTCAAGGATAGAAGTCCAAACTCAAGGTGGCAGGGATGGTTCCTTCTGTGGGCTGTGAGGGAAGGATCTGTCCCAGGCCTCCTTGGTTTGCGAATGGCTGCCTTTTCCTGTTATATCTTCACATTGTCTTCCCTCTATGGGTGCCTGTCTCTGGGTCTAAATTTCCCTTAAATAAGGATACTGGTCATATTGGATTAGGGTCCACTTAATGGCTTTATTTTAACTTGATTATCTTTACAATGATTCTATATCCAAATTCCCCAAATAAGATCATATTCTAAAGTACTATAGGTTAGGATTCCAACCTTTCTTTTCGGGGGCATAATATGGGGGGGACACAATTCAATCTATAACAGTCCCTCTTAAGACTTGATCACCCCTCAGTCTTTCTCTTTCTCTCTCTCTCTCTCTCCACCCCCACCTCCACCACCCTGTCTCTCCAGGAAATCTTCATGCAGTTCTTGTATAGAGTAGTAATGCCCATTTTGTCTGTAAGCCTAAGCCATGTTACCTAACACAGTTAACCTAAAGCATTGAATGCATTCCCTGAAGTACAATTCTCAAATTTCCTTGACCCCTTATTGTCCAAGTGTCAGCATTCTCAAGATGAGAAGGATGAGCTTTACTCCTACATGCTTCTCAGCTTTGTTTCCCCTTGCCTTTCTCTGCTGCAATTGTCTTTGTTCTGGCCACTGTCATTTCTTGCTGAGTGTATGCACTGATTTGCTAATGAATCTTCCCGCTTTCAACTTCATCTTTCTCCAATCTATACTCTATACTCCACATTGCTTCTAGAGGGATCATTCTAAAACAGAAACCTGATCATGCCATGTTCACTTCTGCTGTCAGATGAAATCCAAACTTCTGCCTGTTACTCCTTGTTCTTTATGCATTCTACCCTAGTATCATTCTATGCTCTAACCATGCCAAGTGGGCATAGTCTCTGAATGTACTCTGTTCTTTCACCCTCTCTGCATCTCTGCACACACTGCCCCTTGCCTGGAGTGCCATACCTTATTCATCTATCTAACTCCTCCTTCTTTGAGGCTAGCAAATCATGTAGCACTTCCTCCCACAAGCCTTCCTTCATTCACATTCCTCCCCTTCTACTCTCCCAGAGCACCCTATGCTTATCTTGTTCATTGCCCTTATTATCCTTAATTTTAACACATTCTAAGCTCCTAAAGGTCAACACTTATACCTTTTGCTCTGTTCCTTATGCAATATTTAGCACAATGCCTAGAACATCAGAGGTACTCAATAAGTGCTTATTGAATGGATCAGAACTATAGGGTATTTACCCACCAAGATCAATTTGAGGGTCTCTAAAAGACTCGTGTGCATCAAGAAATGTCTCCACGTTTGCAAATTCTACCTTTACTCACTAAAGAATTTAGTAACAAAGGGAATACATCAGTAACTCCAAGAGAGGTCAGTAACTTCCCTGAGTTCTCCAGATCAGTTAGTTGGCCCTAAGGGGGAAATGCATAGCTAGGTATGAGTCACAAGGGACTAGTCATAGCAGTTGAGAGACTTGGAAGTAATAGGATTGATGCAAAACCTAAACTATGGGTTAATGGAATCAACAGAGGAAAAAATGCAAACTATTTCCTTACCTAACCAGAAAAGAAGTAACAGTTATGTTGATGCTCTCCTCTACCTGCTATGGCGCTTATTGGGGGCAATTCTGTGGGGCTGAGTGGATAAGGTCTCATATAAAATTACATAGAAACTGTTTTGATCTATATTCATCCCAATTCTAATCATTTTTTAAAAACCACAAAATTTCCCTTTAAATTCTGGACTCCTTTACCTTAGAATTCATGATCACAGCCCAAAGACTATCAATTATTATGAATTAAGCCTGGGTCAACTGAGCAAACTGGCTTCTTCTATACTAAACCCAAGTGATCAAACACAATTGGGGAAAATTATGTAGCCATGCAAACTAAGTCTTTACCCAATTTTAACAACAACAACAACAAACTCAGGCATTGTAGGAGTTTATATTTTCTGAAAGTGGCTGCAAGAATATCTTCTTATAATGTGACTTTAGTTAACACTCCTTCATCAAGGGGAGGCAAGAATTAAATTCCCTCCACTTAAATGTAGGCAGGCTTTTGACTACAATGGAAGTGATGTTGCCTTCTGATGTCTCATTTTCTTAGAATGTTTGCTTAGAATCCCAACACAGACCACGAGAAAGTCCAAGTAGGCCATGGCAGCGATATGAGTATGGATCTTGAGAATAAAACCTCCAGACCCCAGTTAAGCTTCCCCCGTTGACACCACATGGAACAGAGACAAGCTATCCCTGCCAAGCCCTCCCCAAATTGCAGATTTAAAAGCAAAACAAATGACTGTTGTTTTCACTCACTAAGCTTTGGAGTGGTTTGTTATGCAGTGACAATAACCAGAAGAGATTTTGATAGTTGGATATGGGGTGCTGCCAAAACAAAAACTTAAAATACGTGGCATTAGCACCGAGATTGGGCAGCAGACAGAAGCTGGAAGAGCCCCAAAGCCAGTGCCTGTCAAGCCAAAAGGGCCAAGGAAGGATGGATTTGTGGAAGCCTTAAAAGCTATAAGAAAGGTGTTGATGAAAGCTTAAAGGAAAGAAAACGTAACTGTAAGCTGAAAGAAAGTTTCTTCTCTCTCTGCAGTGTTTTACCTAGACCTGTGGCAAAAATCTAAGACTCACTCCCTCTCTCTGTGCATGTACAAAGAAGAGGTTTGGTAAGCAGGGTGATGACAGCCTTCAACAAGCCAGGAAGAGAGCTCTCACCAGAACCTGACCATGCCAGTACCCTGCAGATTTCCAGCCTCCAGAACAAGGACGTAATACAAATGATGCAGCTTCCTCTTAGTTCTTTGGGGATGCTTGCTCTCAGAATCCAGGCAGTAGTCAGGAGGAAACCCAAGCAGTGCCTGGAGAGCAAAAAAGGCCTCCAGTCCATTGCCTTAGCCAAGTTACTGGTACATAGCCAACACTAACTTTCAGCCATATGAGCTGGCCATCTTAAAAGTGTTCCTCTATTCCCCAGTTGAACAGCCCGAGATCATAAGATGTGACACAGATAATCAGTCCCTGACAAGCCCTGTCAAACTTGCAGATTTGTGAGCAAAATAAATGACTGATGTCAGTTTGTTTTGGGGTGGCCTGTTAATAACAATAGATAACTGATACAGGCATCATCTCCTTTATGTCTTCCTCAAGCTCCAGGTAAGGTTAAGTACTCCCCCATTTTTGCTCCCAAAGAACTCTTTGTGAAACACTATCTTAGCAATTATTGTGCTCTGTTGAATTTAACTCTTCACTTGTCTACCTCTTCGAGCTCAAGGGTAATATCATGCTTTTTGAAAAATTACCTCCTCAAATATATTATATTTGTCACATTCTCTCTTTCTTCTCCTCTGGAACTTTGATTAGACGAGAAAACTTTGCAGTATATCTTTCAAGTCTCTCAGCTTCTCTTTCATATTTTCCACATTTTTGTCTCTGTGCAACATTCTGAAAAATTTCTTGTGGCTTAATTTCCAGTTCACTATATCTCCCTTCAGCTGAATCTCATCTGCTGTTCCACTCATTCATTGAGTTTTAAATTGCATGTGTGTATGTGTAAGTAATTGGAATTTTTTTCATTTCTAAAAGTTTTTTTTTTCCTCTCCAATATGCTAGGTCATTTTCTTTTAGTTTCTATTCCCAAAAAATATCTTCAGGCTCACTTTTTCTTTATAATGGCACAGTCATTGTATAGTCTACATCTACTAATTCCAGTATTTGAAAGCACTTAAGGTGTGGATCGGCTCTTCCTTGTTTTTGTTGGTTCCTGTTGGGTTTTCTTTCCCTATAGGCTTAATTATTAGAAACTGTTAATTTTAATAATAGGAAAATTATTCATAGAAATTATTTGGGGCCCTGGAGGAGAGTATATTTCTCTCCAGAGGGATTACATTTGCTTCCACTTGATACCTGAGGGTATTAGTTTAAATGCATGAACTGACATTTTTTGGACCACCAAGGTGATATGAATTTTGTGTGGCAATCTGTGAGGGCTAGTTAGTAGTAATAATTCTTCAGGAATTTCCCACCCCCTGACCTGCCTTGTTCTGCTCACAAAAAATCATCTTTCCTTGGAGTCCCCTTGGGGTGGGGAATACAGGATTACCTCTGATTCCTCTAAGGCTGTAGCCCTTGGAATCCTAGTTCTATGGAGGAAGGATTTCCTATTACAGTCCCTGAGCTGGACAGGCTGTGTAGATATTTGTTTTCAGTATCCAAAGCCACAGAAGTCTTGAGCACTGAAGTTCATTAGCAGGTTCAGTAAGCTCCCCCAGGACAAATGTGACTTTAGTGCAGCATTTATTTCCTACCCTCGCCAATGTTTTGGCTTGATTATTTCTTACTAACCAACTAATAAAAAGAAATTCCTAATTTAGATGTGATTCGATTTCTGTAATTTTCATATCAGCTTTTTGATACTTTTAAGAAGTTTTTTTCTTTTCTATATCGTATCCAGCATTTTTATTTGTTTTCAGCAAGAGTTGACCTGAGCCTGATCAGCCTTGTTATCTGTGTCCATGTCATTTTCATCCTTGTATCCTCAGCATTCAAAATTGTGCCCCAGCATGCATAAGAACTCAATTAGTTTTTGACTACTTAATCAATACATAGCTGTGTCTTCAATTTTGCATTCCTTCCTCTATCACACCTGATATTCCCCTACCCTCTGTGCCCCAATTAAAGCTCTTTCACATTTTGCATATCTATTTCCTGCATTTTCCTATTTTAATGAAGCTTCCCCCCCTGAATATGCTATTTCCCTCATTATCTCTCTTACGGAAAAGGAAAAGTTCTCATTCTTGTCAACTTCCATAGCCTGGGGTCAGCATTGTTTTCATTCTCCATGACCGCTGTGGGTCACTTTCTATTATTTGGCCTTCATCCAAACTCTGATGCTCATCTGAAGTTTACACTATTCTATTATAACATTCTTTTTGTAATTTTATTGTTATCATATGTGGACCTCCAGTCATATCTCTACATTTCTTGAGGGTTTCAGTATTTGATTCCTAATATCTACCCCACCTCATCCCCTAGTAAAATGCAGCACTACAGCATAGTGTTTAAGAGCACAAGTTAGACAACTCAAGGTCAAGTACCAAATCTACCCCTCATTAACATGTAACCTTGGGAGGCCAGCTAATGTTTCAATGCCTCAGTTTCCTTATCTCTAAAATGAGAATAATGATATTAATACCTCACAGCATTGTAAGAATCATATGGAATAATGCATATAAAGCACTTAGAACAGTATCTGCCACATAATAAATGCTCAATAAATTTACTATTTTCATTACTGCACTATTACCTTAAAAGTCTTCCTTCTGTATGTTTATGATTCATTAACACCCTAGCCTCAGTACTGCTCAAAAATCCATTTTTTTCACTTGTACAAAATTCCCTAGACTATTACGTATAATGGCTTTTCTGAATTTTATTTACTTATTTATTTAGAGACAGGGTATCACTGTGTCACCCAGGCTGCAGTGCAGTGGTGTGACCACGGTTTACTGTAGCCTTGACCTCCCAAACTCAGGCAATCCTCCCACCTCAGCCTCCTGAATAGCTGGGACTACAGGCATGGGCCATCACGTCCAGCTAATTTTTTAATTGTTTGTAGCAATGGGGTTTCACCAGGTTGCCCAGGCTAGTTTTGAACTCCTGAGCTCAAGTGATCCACCCACCTTGTCTAGGATTACAGGCATGAGGTAGTGTCTGTAATAGGCTAGTGCTAAGAATATAGGCATGAGCCATCGCTCCTGGACTGAATTTTAATTTAACCCTTCTTAAGATCTAGCTCTTACTTTCGGCCAATAACCTTTTATCTTACCCAGAAATTGAATCCATTTGAAAATAAATATTTCAGAATTTCTCTATATTCATAACCATGCTGTCTTCTCGCTACTCTGTGGGGAAGCAAGGTCTGTGTTTCCCTAAACTAGCTGAGTCTTAACTTCTACCCATTCTGTTCTTTTTATTCTTTATCTTCAATACCTTGCTCTACCAGAAAATTCCTCTAAACTTGATCAAGTCTTATTTATCCTAACATAAACCAGCTATTTCCCTCTTGCACCTGCTTTCTTCTTATGTTACTATCATACCTCTTCTTCTAATCTCCTTGAAAGAGTCATCCGTACTCTCTACTCCATTTCCCAGTGTCTTATTTCCCATTTCCCAATGTCTCACTATTAACTTCCAGACATCTACTTGTACCACATCACTTCTAAAATTTACTATTCAAAAGTAAGTTGCGACTGCATTACCAAACCAAAAAAAAAAGCCTCTCTTCAGAATTTTTCTTACAACTCCTTCACAGCATTAAATATATTGACCATCCACTTGAAAATTTCCTCCTTCATTAGCTTTCATATAATCACTCTGTATTCTTTCTTAAAGTAATAGAAAGAAACTATAATGGTAGTCAAAAATCCATGTTCAAGCATAGGCCCCACTATTGCTCTTAAAACTCTAATTTCTTTATCAGCAAAATAGGGATAATATTTGTCTTGCTTTGTTCACTAGTTTGTAATGCAAAAAATAAAACAAAATAATGAATCTGATAATGCCATAAAAGACATGAAATATATAAAGCAGCTAAGTAAGATTTGATAACTTGGTAACAGATAGGCTACAGAAAATGATACAAAAATTGCTACCAATTGGCTGTGAACTCCTGAAGGAACCAAAGCTGTGTATCTTACCTAGAAGGTTTTTTCAGTATTAAAAGGTTTCAAAGCATCTTCATCAAAGCATTACCATGTCCATTATGGCTT
Source organism: Homo sapiens (assembly GCF_000001405.40). Classification (NCBI taxonomy): domain Eukaryota; kingdom Metazoa; phylum Chordata; class Mammalia; order Primates; family Hominidae; genus Homo; species Homo sapiens. Next base: position 99,504,275 of record NC_000012.12, read on the forward strand.
TTACCAGGAAGTTAGGAGACTTCAAATAAAAAACCTTCTGACCTACCTGGACTCACTTCAAAATGAAAAAATAATTATTGGAACTACATTGGGGGAACTTTCATTTTGATAACATAGTAGGAAACCAAAATGTTAATGATGCATCTTCATATGAATAAGCAAGTAAATTGAATCAGGCCAATTGTGAGTAAGAGATATTACCAGTTCTTGGGGAAGGTGCCCTTGCAATTTCTAAGGAGCAAGGTTTCTTTGTAACAGCTGTGTCCATGAGATCACACAGAAAGTTCTCATTTTCTGAAGGAAATGTATCCAGAGAAGCAGATGGTACAATTTCCATAGTGTAATTTCTCTTCTTTGGATAGGACTCCTGAAAAGAAGAAAAAATAAAAACAGCTTTGTGATGAAGAAACAGCCTTGTTTAATTTATAAAAACTAGAAAAGATAATCAGGTTCATTAGTTCTTTCCAAAGTGATTGACAGCTGATGATTCATCTGTTTGAATAAATTATAGAATCATGTAAACCCAATATCAGTGATATTTTTAAGAGTCCTCATAATTTAAAAGGACTGAATTTATTACTGAATTAGTAAAGGTATTGCCCTTTTTTGTAATATATATCTATTATCTAGTTGTGGCATAAACTGCTGGTTAACTAATCAACAGTCATCCCCAAGACTCTACTCCTTTGCCGGCCTCCTGGAGACACCCATATAACTCGGAGACACCCATATAACTCAACTTTGGCCCATTAGATGTAAGATGAAGTTTGCTAAAAGGCTGGTGGGAAAAAATTTTTCCCCAAGGAAGAAGCATATAAGGAGGCTCTTTCAGAGCCAAGGCCATCCCCAGGCTCCTCTCTTTGGATGCAGTTTTGATATCTGGAGCTAGGGCAAGCATTTTGTGACCAAAAGGCAAGAATCTTCAGATCAAAAAGGTAACAAGCCAAGAATGGCAACAGAAGGATAAAAAGAGCCTGGGACATTGATCATATCATTGAGCTGCTCAAATAGACCCAGGGCCAGTTTCTCCAGTCTTCTTACATAAATAATAACATTCTTACAGTTTGAGCCATTGCTAATTGGGTTTTCTGTCATTTAGAGTTAAATGTCTTGCCATCCAGCACACTAGTATCTTTCCTTGTAAATACCATTAACTAATATACTAAGGTACTCTTTTCAGGTTAGGATAAAATATAGGTCCAGTTCTATATGATTGATTCTTTGATATATTCTAAAAATTAGAATTTATTTCATTTTATAAGATTTTGATTTCCTGTACATAAGGCATTAATTGGTCAACAAATACTTATTGGGCATCTACTATATATATGTAGAATATATATAGCATATTTATATATTATATATATATGTATATATATATAATGTGCTAAATGCTGGACTGTTTTTAAACTAATGAGACATAATCCTTGCTCTGAAGAAGTTCACAGTCTGCTGGAGAAGACTGTGAAATTCTGCATGATGAAATTCACAATTAATCATATTTTATTTTTGCTACAGATCCTCCTCAGCTTTACAAAAAAACCCAAAGTAAGTTGAAAATATTGTAAGTAGAAACTGCATTTAATACACTTAACCTACCAAACAGCATAGCTTAGCCTAGCCTACCTTAAATGTGCTCAGAACACTTACATTAGCGTATAGTTGGGCAAAATCATCTGGTAACACAGTACATTGTAGAATATTAGTTACTTACCCTTGTGGTTTTGTGGCTGACTGGGAGTTGTGGCTTGCTACCACTGCTCAGCATCATGAGAGAGTTATCTATCATAGGGTATATTGCTAGCCCAGGAAAATATTCAAAATCTGATGTACGGTTTCTACTGAACATACACTGCTTTCACACCATTGCAAAGTCAAAAACTCGTAAGTTGAACCATCATGAGTTGCAGACCATCTGTATGTGCTACTTTTATAAAGTATGCCTCACAATCAAGAAAAAGACAAATAAGAAAATAGACTAATATTTTTGAAAAATCTCCCTAAGTATATTCTAGGGCTGATAAAGATTTAGTACGAATTCCTAGTTTTTCTACAGTACAGCAGAATTCAAGGTCAGGGTAATTGCTTTCAGACAATACCAGACCCTCACACATCAGAGAGTCAATTATGGTCATGATACTCCATTGAAAGCAGGAAATTGGGAGTAATTTATTTTTAACAACAAAGGGTGACAAAGTAGAAGGCATCCAGAGGAAAGTAATCAGGATGGCATATAATTCTGAAACCATGTCAGAGAAGAAATGATGAAAGGAACTGCAGTGTTCTATCCAGAGAAGCCTTATAGCCACATAATAGTTTTCTCAATGATTTGAAAGGCTATCCCTCATCAACTATCCCACAAAGGGGGGATGGAGAAAAGTTGATGTGGTAGATTTATTCTAAGGCCCATAAAGACAAGACAAAGACTAATGTTTATAAGTCAAGAAGGGCAAATTTGGCTCAATACAAAAAATAATTTTCTATGAATTAATGATATTGTTTACCTTTTAAAATAAAAAGGCACTATAAAATGAGTTAACAAATAGCATTATAAAGCAACAGAAGGAAGTCCTCATTACTGAAAATCTTCCAGCAGAATTATCTGCTGATAAAATTGTGGATGAAACACATTGTACAATGAGTCCAACAGGTTACTATAAGCTCCATGAAGGCTGGAATTTGTCTTGTCCACTACTCTGTCCCTAGAATCTAATACAGGTCCTGCCAATAGTTGATGAGTTGATGCTCAATAAATATGTATTGATCAACTGAACAGTCTCTAGTGTCCTTTAAACAAAGCTAACTACAAGTTATGGAAATGATTTTTTTTCAAATGTAAATTATTTTGCCTTTCAGTTCAGTTAATATTGTTCACCAGTTTGCATATAAAAAGTGAAAAACTGAGATTACAACGATAAGATTGTAAAGATTCTATGGAAAAAAAGAGTCTCCAGTTAAACTCCTAGTTCCATCCTGAAATTAAATTAATCAAAACAACCCATGGATTTAGTTAAGTTGGAATTTTACAGTGTGTATGAACACTTCTGAGGATTTTTAAAGCCTCGAAAACCACTTTGAAATTTAATCACAAAGCATGGGTTAATTTGCTTTCTTCCTTAAAAATGAAGTATATAGGTTTATTAGAGAATAATTTGAAAACATAAAGAAAGAGGAAAATAATCACATGAAAATCAAGCATGCTGAGATAACTGAGGGTAATATTTTGGTGACCATCCTCCCAGACTGTTTCACTCTGTGAATGTGTGTGGACATGTGAGTATGTGCAAAGGAAAGAAAAAATATTTTAAACAATAATGAAGTACTCCCTCTTCTGCTTCCTAATGGAGGGCCATAATTTCTTCTTAGAATGTAAGTCTTTGTAGAACCTGGCTTCCTTAGGGAAGGTGAGGCCCCCGCGGGAAGGAGTTGGTAAAAACGAAGATAGTGAAACAATGCTTTTGTAACCAAATATTTCAATGTCAAGAAAGAGAGATAGTTGAACAAAATATCTGACAAGTGACCGTCAAAAGAGGATATGCAAGATAATTTTTTTAAAAAAATGGATCCATGTGTCCACTACTCAGTTTAAGAGGTAGAATATTACCATTGTATCATTGAAACCTGTCCCCCAACCCACCCCATGTTCATCTTTCCAATTTTACCCTTTTTCCTCCTCTACCAGGGCTAAATGCTTTCTGAGCTTTGTGTTTTTAATTGCTTGGACTGTGTTAAATTTTAACTATACATGTAAGTATCAATAAAAAATAAATTTTTAGTACTGTATGCTTTCAAACTTTATATATATAGTATCAAATGCTCTAGTTCTTCTGTGATTTTTCTCAATCAAGATTATGTTTCTGAATTTCATCTATTTTCAGTGTGGTACAGGAGCTCATTGTTTAAGATTACCACAATTCATTTACACATTCTCCTGACAATGGACTTTTAAATGTTTCCTAGGTGTTTTGTTATTTAGGATAATGTTATTATAAATTTTCCCATATGAAGTCTCTTGGAGCAAGTAACCAGGGTTATGCTGCCTATTCTAGTAGTGATGGGGAAGAGTCAAGAACAGACAGCAGACGAGAAAAATAAATGAAATCAAGAGATGATAATGAGAATGGAAATTGTATGCCCTGTAGATTCTATAGAATCTTAAGGATAGCATTTGCAGTTTTCTACCCAAAGTGGCAGGAGGGTTCAAAGGATATTCTGTAAATCTTATTAAAATATTATATATAAGTATAGTATTATATAAAATATTTCCTAATCTGTTATTTACCTCTAATGATATATTTTATACCCTTTTCAATGACAATTATATGTCTACATGATGAACTTGGGTCCCAATATATACCTGGTCATAATTTATTTGGCCAATCCTATCATATTGAAATTTTAATGTTTTGCTTTGAAGGAAACATTTTTGTTCATATATTTTGTTTACATATTCAACTATTTTGAAATAGAATTCCTGTGATAATACATATATGACTTATGTTTACATATAATTGAATCTGTATCTGGACTTTCTAATTGGTTCCATATATATGTCTATTCTAGTACAGGCATACCTCAAGGTGTATCGTGTTTTACAGATATTGCATTTTTAAAAAAATAAAGATTTATGGCAACCGGGCATTGAGCAAGTCTATCAGCACCATTTTTCCAACATGTTCTTATTTTGTGTCACATTTTGGTAATTCTCCTAATATGTCAAATTTTTCATTATTATTATATCTGTTATGGCCATCTGTGATCAGTGAGCTTTGATGTTACTGTTGTAATTGTTTTGGAATGCCACAAGCCACAATCATATAAAACAGTGAACTTAATGCATAAGTGTAGTATGTGTTCTGACTGCTCCACCGACCAGCCATTCCCCTGTCTCATCTTCTCCTTGGGCCTCCCTATTTCCTGAGACACAACAATATTGAAATTAGGCCAATTAGTAACCCTTCAATGGCCTCTAAGAGTTCAAATTCAAGAAGAGTCACATGTCTCTCACTTTAAATAAAAAGCTAACAATGATTAAGGTTAGTGAAGAAGACATGTCAAAAAGCTAGGCCTCTTGTGCCAAACAGCTACCAAGCTGTGAATGCAAAGGAAAAGTTCTTGAAGGAAATTAAAAGTGCTACTCCAGTGAACACACAAATGATAAGAAAGGGAAACAGTCTTATTGCTGATATGGAGAAAGTTTCAGTGGTCTGGATAGAAGATCACACCAGCCACAACATTCACACAAGCCAAATCCTAATCCAGAGCAAGACTCTAATTCTCTTTAATTCAATGAAGGCTGCCAGAGGTGAAGAAGCTGCAGAAGTTTGAAGCTGGCTGTGGTTAGTTCATAAGGCTTAAGGAAAGAAACTATCTCCATAACATAAAAGTGCAAGGTGAAGCATCAAATGCTAATGGAGAAGCTGCAACAAGTTATCCAGAAGATCCCGCTAAGACAATTGATGAAGGTGACTACACTAAACAATAGATTTGCAATGTAGATGAAACAGCCTCATACCAGAAGATGTCATTTAGGACTTTCACAGCTAGAGAAGAGAAGTCAATGCTTGGCTTCAAACTTTAAAAGGACAGTCCAACTCTTTTGTTAGGGGCTAGTGCAGTTGATGACTTTAAGTTGAAGCCAATGCTCATTTACCACTCCAAAAATCCTAGATTCCTTAAAAATGATGCTAAATCAACTTTTCCTATGCTCTATAAATGAAACAACAAATCTGGATGACAGCATGTCTGTTGGCAGCATGTCTGTTTACAGCATAATTTACTGAATATTTTAAGCCCACTATTGAGACCTACTATTCACAAGAAAAGATTCCTTTCAAAATATTACTATTCATTGACAAAGCCACAGATCACCCAAGAGCTCTGATAGAGCTGTACGAAGAGATTAACGTTGTTTTCATGACTGTTAACACAGCATGTATTCTCCAGCCCATAGATCAAGGATTAATTTAGAGTCTCAAGTCTTATTATTTAAGAAATACATTATATAAGGCTATAGCTGTCATAGAAAGTGATTCCTCTGATGAAACTGAGCAAAGTAAATTGAAAACCTAGACAAGATTTTCCATTCTAGATGCCATTCAGAACATTTGTGATTCATCAGATGAAGTCAACATCAATGAGTCTAGATGAAGTTGACTCCAACCCTCAGGGAGGACTTTGATAGGTTTGACTTTGGTGGAGGAAGTAACTGCAGATGTGACGGATAAATAGCAAGAGAACTGGAAGTGGAGCCTGAATATAGGACTGAATTGCTGTAATCCCATGATAAAACTTGAATGGATGAGGAGTTGCTTCTTACAGGCGAACAAAGTGGTTTAAGATGAAATACACTCCTGGTGAAGATGCTGTGAACATTGTAGAAATGATAACAAAGGATTTAGAATATTACATAAACTTCATTGATAAAGCAGTGGCAGGGTTTGAGAGGATTGACTCCAATTTTGAAAGAAGTTCTAGTGTGAGTAAAATGCTATCAAACAGCTTTGCATGCTACAAAGAAATCTTTCATGAAAGGAAGACTCAAATAATTCAGCAAAACTACATTGTTCCCTTATTTTAAGAAACTGCCCACTGATTTTGTATCCTGAGAGTTTGCTGAAATTGCTTATCAGCTTAAGAAGCTTTTGGGCTGAGATGATGGGGCTTTCTAGATACAGGATCATGTGATCTGCAAACAAATATTGTTTGACTTCTTCTCTTCCTATTTGAATACCCCTTATTTCTTTCTCTTGCCTGATTGCCCTGGCCAGGACTTCCAATACTATGTTGAATAGGAGTGGTGGAGACAGCATCCTTGTCATGTGCTGGTTTTCAAGGGGAATGCTTCCAGCTTTTGCCCATTCAGTATGATGTTGGCTGTGGGTTTGTCATATATGGCTGTTATTATTTGAGGTATGTTCCTTCAAAACCTAGTTTATTCAGAATTTTTACCATGAAGGGATGTTGAATTTTATCAATGGCCTTTTCTGCAGGCAAATCATGAATGAACTGCCACATCATGAATGAACTGCCATTCACAACTGCTACTAAGAGAGCAAAATGGCTAGGAATACAGCTAATAAGTGAGGCAAAGGACCTCTTTAAGGAGAACTACAAACCACTGTTCAAGGAAATCAGAGATGACACAAACAAATGGAAAAACATTCCATGCTCACAGATAGGAAGAATCAATATCGTGAAAATGGCCATACTGTCCAAAGTAATTTATAGACAATGCTATTCCCATTAAACTACCATTGACATTCTTCACAGAATTAGAAAAAAACTAATTTAAAATTCATATGGAACCAAAAGGAGCCCGAATAGCCAAGACAATCCCAAGCAAAATGAAAAAAGTTGGAGGCATCACGCTACCTGACTTCAAACTATACTCAAGGCTATAGTAATGAAAAAAGCATGGAACTGGTGACAAAAACAGACACATAGACCAATGGAACAGAATAGAGAACTCAGAAATAATATCACACATCTACAACAATCTGATCTTCGACAAACCTGACAAAAACAAGCAATGGAGAGAGGATTCTCTATTTTAAAAATGGTGCTGGGAGAACTGACTAGCCATATGCAGGAAATTGAAACTGGACCCCTTCCCTACACCTTATACAAAAATTAACTAAAGATGGATTCATGATTTCAATATAAAATGTAAAACTATAAAAACCCTAGAAGAAAATCTAGGCAATACCATTCAGGACATAGGCATGGGCAAAGACTTCATGCTGAAAATGCCAGAAGTGATTGCAACAAAAACAAAAATTGACAAATGGGATCTAATTAAATTAAAAAGCTTCTACACAGCAAAAGAAACTATCAACAGAGTGAACAGACAACCTACAGAGTGGGATAAAATTTTTGCAATCTATCCATCTGACAAAAGTCTAATATCCAGAATCTATAAGGAAGTTAAATATATAAGAAAAAAGCAATTCCATTAAGAAGCGGGCAAAGGACATAAACAGACGCTTCTCAAAAAAAGACATTCATTGTCCAACGAACATGAAAAAAAGCTCAACAACACTGATCATTAGAGAATTTCAAATCAAAACCACAATGAGATCACCTCATGCAGTCAGAATGATGATTATTAAAAAGTCAAGAAACAACAGATGCTGGCTTGTTGCAGAAAAAAAAAGGAATGCTTTCATACTGTTGGTGGGAGTGTAAATTAGTTCAACCATTGTGGAAGATGGTGTGGTGATTCCTCAAAGATCTAGAAGGAGAAAAAGCATTTGACCCAGCAATCCCATTATTGGGTATATACCCAAAGTATTATAAATCATTCTATTATAAAGATACATGCACATATAAGTTCATTACAGCACTGTTCACAATAGCAAAGACATGGGGTCAACCCAAATGGCCACCAATGATAGACTGGATAAAGAAAATGTGGTACATATACACCATGGAATACTATGCAGCCATAAAAGGGAATGAGATCATGTCCTTTGCAGGGACATGGATGGAGCTGGAAGCCATTTTCCTCAGCAAACTAATGCAGGAACAGACAACCAAATACCACATGTTCTCACTTATAAGTGGGAGCTGAACAATGAGAACACATGGACACATGGGGGGAAAAACACACACTGGGGCCTGTCAGGGAGGCAGGGAGAGGAGACCGTCAGAAAGAATAGCTAATAGATGCTAGGCTTAATACCTAGGTGATAGGCTGATCTGTGCAGCAAACCACCATGGCACACGTTTACCTAACAAACTTGCACATCCTGCACATGTACCCTGGAACTTAAAAGTTGAAAGAAAAAAAAAAAACTGTCACAGTCACCTAAGCTCCAGCAACCATTACTCTGATCAGTCAGTGGCCATTCAAATCAAGGCAAGACCCTCCACCAGCAAAAAATTATGACTCACTGAAGGCTCATATGATCGTTGGCATGTTTTAGTAATAAAGTATTTTTAATTAGGTATGTACTCTTTTTTAGACATAATGCTATTGCACACTTCATAAACTACAGTATAGTGTAAACATTACTTTAATATGCATTGGGAAACCAAAAAAATCATGTGACTGGCTTTGCTGTAATAGTCACTGTATTGTGGTGGTTGAAACCAAACTCACAACATTTGTGAAGTATGTCTGTACCAGAATTACACTGTCTTGATTAGTGGAGCGTTTAAATTGATTTTACTATCTGGTAGGATAAATCTTTCATCATGTTAATCTTTCCCAAGGCATTAATTATTAACTTCATGTTTATTTTTCAAAAAGAAAAAATTTGAAACATTTTGTTAAGTTTTCCTCAAATCATTCCTTCTCATTTGTTCCCTATCAGTAATCAATACTTCCATATATCCAGGCACTAAAAGAACCTGGGATATGGTTCACTTTTCATTCTTTCTCTGTCATTCCCAATAAATCCTCAAGTCCTATACTTTGCCATTGAATTATACCTCAAACACATTTATTTCTCTCCACCCCAGCTACCGCATGCTAGTCCAGACCACCATTATATTTCACCTGAACTGCTGGAACAACTTCCAAAGTATCTTCTTTGTCTCCAGTCCTGCCTCTCTTCTAATCAATTCATTTTCAAAACTAGCTTGAAGCTTCTAAGAGTAAGTAAGGTCAAAGCAAACTCATTTATTTTCATCATAACTTTATTTGATGAGAGAATCATAAAATGCTAGTCATAGAACACGTTGATTCTTTTTAAACATTTAACACGGTCTCTCATAATATCTCAGAATTTCCTTGCTGAATGATTTCATTAAATACATTAATGATCTAAATAGTAAATTCATTTAATTAACAAGATAGGAAAGAAGAAACAAAGTTCCTTGAGTAATAAGTTTAAACGTAATCCCATTAGTTGATAAGATAAATGGGATTAATTTCTAAAGACATACTTATCTAGCACCTAGCAAAATTCCATGTTCATAGTAGGACTCTATGAATATATGATGAAAAAATAAATGCATAAATTACCATATCAGTTAGAATTTCATGGCTTGCAACCTCTGCTAGAATTAAAGCACCATAGGGGCAAGAACCATGATAATCTTCATATAGTACGTATTTAATAAACATTTGTCAAAGTCTGAAACAATGTCATCCAAAAACAATCACAGATTCAAACTATCACAAATCCAAAACTACCACAAATTCCCCACTGTGGGAAGAATTACAACTTATATTTATGCAGTGTTTTATCATCTGCAAAGTGAATACTATTTTATTTGCCCAGATGATTCTCATTTAGCCCTCACAACAATCCAGCCAATGCTACTATCACCGCCATCCAGAAACTAGGACTGAAATTATTAAGTGACTTGTCCAATATTAAGCATCTTGTTAATGGAAATGTTAGGGATCCAACCTTGGTCTTCTGGCACCAGATCTAGTGTTCATGTGATTGTGTCAAAGATAAAAATGACTATGACCAGATATTTATTGCCAGAACTAAGGGAAAGAGGACACTCTGCACATCGTTAGGTAGTATCTAGCTCTGCCAATTTTCAAGCCTTTGTATGTCCCCTTCCCTGCACTGGGAAACGTTGACCTCAATACACAGATTAACTGCCAACATATCCTTGATGGTTAATCCTGGTAATAGGCAAGAGGGATTAAAAGGACTGCAATGCAACAATTTCTGACTCCTTCAAGACTCAATTTTCTCCAGTCTAGCAATATTGGGCTCAAAATAGATTAGTAGTTTTTGCTTTTTTCTTGACATTTGGCCTCTATCATTTAAAAAAAAAAAAACTTTTAAATATGCAACTTTTGTGGGTGTATAGCAGGTATATGTATTTATGTGGTACATTTGATATTTTGATAAAGGCAAGCAATATGTAATAATTACATCATGGAAAATGGGGTATCCATCCCTTCAAGCATTTATCCTTGTGTTACGTAAGTCCAATTATACCCTTTTAGTTATCTTAAAATATACAATTAAATTGTTATTGACTATAGCGCCCCTGTTGTGATATCAAATACTCCATTTTATTTATTCTTTCTAACTATGTTTTGAACCAATAACCATCCACAACTCCCACCCTCAGACCCCCACTATTCTTCCCAGCCTCTGGAAACCATCATCCTACTTTATGTCTCCATGAGTACAATTATTTTGACATTTAGATTCCACAAATAAGTGAGAACATGTGATATTTGTCTTTCCATGCCTGGTTTATTTCACTTAACGTAATGACCTCCAGTTCTATCCATGTTGTTGCAAATAAAAGGATCTCTCTTTTACGGTTGAATAGGTACTCTGCTGTGTATAAGTACCACAGTTTCTGTATCCATTCTTCTCTTGATGGACACTTAGATTGCTTCCAAATTTTTCTATTGTAAACAGTGCTGCAACAAATATGGGAGTAGAGCCATCTCTTCCATATAGTGTTTTCCTTTGGGGGTGGGGGGTGTATATAACCAGCAATGGGATTGCTGAATTACATGATAGCTCCCTTTTTAGTTTTTTGAGGAACCTCCAAACTGTTCTCCTCACATTCCCACCAACAGTGTACCATGGTTCCCTTTTCTCCACATCCTCACCAGCATTTGTTATTGCCTGTCTTTTGGATAAAAGTCATTTAACTGGGGTGAAATGATATCTCATTGTAGTTTTGATTTGCATGTCTCTGACGATCAGTGATGCTGAGCACCTTTTCATATGCCTGTTTGCCATTTGTATGTCTTCTTTTAAGAAATGTCTATTCAAATCTGTTGCCCATTTTCTAAGTGGGTTATTCGATTTTTTCCTATAGAGTTGTTTGGACTGCTTTTATATTCTAGTTATCACCTGTCAGATTATTAGTTTGCATTTTCTCCCATTTTGTGGGTTGCTTCTTCACTGTGTTGTTTCCCTTGCTGTGCAGAAGCTTTTGAACTTGATGTGCTCCCATTTGTCCATTTTTGTTGTGTTTGCCTGTGCTTGAGGGGTATTACTCAAAAACTTTTTGCCCAGACCAAATGCCCTGGAGAGTTTCCCCAAACTTTTCTTATGGCAGTTTCATAGTTTGACATCTTGGATTTAAGTCTTTAATCTATTTTCATTTGATATTTGTATATGGGGAGAGATAAGGTTCTAGTTTCATTATTCCGCATATAGGTATCAAGTTTTGCCAGCACAGAATACTATGCACCCATAAAAAGGAACAAGATCATGTCCTTTGCCGGGACATAGATGAAGCTGGAAGCCATTATCCTCAGCAAACTAACACAGGAAGAGAAAACCAAACACCTCATGTTGTCACTCATAAGTGGGAGCTAAAAAATGAGAACACATGGACCCAGGGAGGGGAACAACACACCCAGGACCCTGTCAGGGAGGCAGGGGGAGGGAAAGCAACAGGATAAATAGCTAATGCATGTGGGGCTTAACACCTAGGTGATGGGTGGATAGGTGCAGCAAACCACCATGGCACATATTTACCTATGTAACAAACCTGCATGTTCTCCATGTGTATCCTGGAATTTAAAATAAAATTAATTTAAAAAAAAAAGACTGTTTTTTTCCCAATGTATGTTCTTGGCACCTTTGTAAAAAATGAGTTCACTGTAGATGTGTGGATTTGTTTCTGTGTTCTCTATTCTATTCCATTGGTCAATATGCCTGTTCTTATGCAGTACTATGCTGTTTTGGTTACCATAGCTCTGTAGTATAATTTGAATCCAGGTAACGTGATTCCTCCAGTGTGGTTCTTTTCTTCTCAGGATAGCTTTGTTTCTTCTGGGTCTTTTGTAGTTCCATATAAATTTTAGAATTGCATTTTCTATTTCTGTGAAAAATATCATTGGTATTTGAGTAGGGATTGCATTAAATCTGTACATTGCTTTGGGTAGTATGGATATTTCAACAATACTGATTTTACCAATCTATATATATGAAATATCTTTTCATTTTCTTGTATGATCTTTAATTTCATTCATCAGTATTTTATAGTTTTCATTGTAGAGATCTTTCACTTCTTTAGGTAATTCCTAGTTATTTAATTTTAGTTGTGGCTATTGTAAGTGCAATAACTCTTTTGATTTCTTTTTCAGGTTGTTCACTGTTGGCATATAGAAATGCTACTGATTTTTGTATGTTGATTTTGTATCCTGACACTACTAAATTTATCAATTCTCATTCTTTTTGGTGGAGTCTTTAGGTTTTTCCAAATATAAGATCATGCTAGGTGTGGTGGCTCACACCTGTAATCCCAACACTTTGGGAGGCCAAGATGGGCGGATCATCTGAGGTAAGGAGTTCGAGACTAGCCTGACCAATGTGGTGAAACCCTGTCTCTAGTAAAAATACAAAAAAAAAAAAAAAATTAGCTGGGTGTGGTGGTGGGCGCCTGTAATCTCAGCTACTCAAGAGGCTGAGGCAGGAGAATCGCTTGAATATATATAGCCAACAAGAATACTTTGACTTCTACCTTTCCAATTTGGATGCCCTTTATATCTTTCTCTTGTTGGATTGCTCTATCTAGGACTTCCAGTACTATGCTGACTAACGGTGGCAAAAGTGATAATCCTTGTTGTGTTCCAGATCTTGGAGGAAAGGCTTTCAGTTTTTCCCCAGTCAGTATGATACTAGCTGTGGGTCTGTCATATATAGCTCTTATTATGTTAAGATATGTTCCTTCTATACTCAGTTTTTTGAAGGTTTTCTGTGATGAAAGGATGTTGAATTTCATCAAATGCTTTTTCAGCATCAATTGAAATGATCATATGGTTTTTATCCTTTATTCTGTTGATATGATGTATTATATTGGTTGATTTGCATATGTTGAACCATCCTTGCCTCCTAGGGATAAATCCCACTTGGTCATGATAAAACATCTTTTTAATATATTGTTGAATTCAGTTTGCTAACATTTTGTTGAGGATTTTTGCATTAATATTAGTCAGAGATACTGACCAGTATTTTTTTTTATGGGTCTTTGTCTGGTTTTGGTATCAGGGTAATGCTGGTCTTGTAGAATGAGTTTGGAAGTATTCTCTCCTCCTCTACTTTTTGGAATAGTTTCAGTAGGATTAGTATTAGTTCTTTAAATGTTTGGTAGAATTCAGCAGTGAAGCCATCAGGTCCTAGGCTTTTATTTGCTGGGAGACTTTTTATTACACCTTCAATCTCATTACTTGTTATTAGTCTGTTCAGGTTTTGAATTTCTTTATGGCTCAATTTTGATAGGTTGTCTGTGTCTAGTAATTTATCCATTTCTTCTGGGTTTTCCAATTTATCGGCCTATAGTTACTCATAGAACCCATTAATGATCCTCTGAATTTCTGCTTTATAGGTTGTAATGTCTCCTTTTTCATCTCTGAATTTATTTGGATCTTCTCTCTTTTTTTCTTAGTCTAGATAAAGGTCTGTCAATCTGAGTCTGGCTAAAGGTTTGCCAATGTTTATCTTTTCAAAAAAACAACTTTTTGTTTTACTGATATCTTGTATGGATTTCTTCATCTCAATTTCATTTATCTCTGCTTTGATTTTTAATATTTCTTTTCTACTAATTTTAAATTTGGTTTGCTCTAGCTTTTCTAATTCTTTAAGATGCACCAATTGGTTGTTTATTTGAAGTGTTTCTTCCTTTTGATGTAGACACTTATAGGATAAACTTTCCTCTTAGTACTGCTTTCACTATATCCTATACATTTTGGTATGTTGTGTTTCCATTATGGTTTGTTTTGAGAAATTTTTCAATTTCCTTCTTAATTTCTTCATTGACCCCTGGTCATTTCAGGGCATATTGTTTAATTTTCATGTGTCTGTATAGTTTCCAAAATTCCTCTTGTTATTGATTATATTTATTCCATTTTGGCCAGAGAAAATGCTTAATATTATCTAAATTTGGTTGAATGTTTTCAAATTTGTTTTGTGAGCTAACATATGGCCTATCCTTGAGAATGATCCATGTGCTAAGGAACAGAATGTGTATTCTTCAGTCACTGAGTGAGATGTTTTGTAAGTATCTATTAAGTGAATTTGATGTATAGTATAGATTAAGTTCAATGTTTCTTTGTAGATTTTCTGTTTGAAGATCTGTCCAATCCTGAAAGTGGGATGTTGAAGACCTAGCTATTATTGTATTAAGGCCTATCTGTCTCTTTAGCTCTAATAATGTTTCCATTATATATGTGGGTGCCCCATGGTTGGGTGCACACATATTTATAAGTGTTATATCCTCTTGCTGAATTGACCCTTTTATCATTATATAACGACCTTCTTTGTCTGACTTGTCTTATAGTTTTTGTCTTGAAATCTACTTTGTCTGATATAAATATAGCTATTCCTATTCTTTTTTGGTTTCCAGTGGCTTGGAATATCTTTTTCCATCCTTTTATTTTCAGTCTATTTGTATCTTTATAGATGATGTGTGTTTCTTGCAGGCACAGATCATTGGCTCTTGTTTTTTCACCTATTCGGCCACTCTATTTGAAGTCAGTCTTCTCATTCAGACTCTCATTCAGTATTCTCTTCCCTCTTTCCTTCTGTCTTTTCTCCCTTTTAGTGAAAGTGATTTTCTCTGGTGCTATGATTTAATTTCTTCCTTTTTATTTTTTGTATATCCATTGTATGTATTTTGATTTGAGGTTACCATGAGCCTTGCAAATACCATCTAATAATCCATTATTTTAACTGGTGACAATTTAACAATGATTGCTTAAACAAACATGCAAAAAGTAAACTAATGAAGGCTCTACACTTTAACTTTGTCTGCCTGCTTTTTAACTTCTTGTTGCTTCTCTTTATGTATTATTGTATTGTGTATGTCTTCAAACGTTGTTGTAGTTGTTATTTTTGATTGGCTCATTGTATAATCTTTCTACTTAAGATATGAGTAGTTTACATGCCACAATTACAGTGCTATAATATTCTCTGTTTTTTTCTGTGTGCTTATTATTGCCAGTAACTTTTGTACCTATAGATGATTTCTTCTTGCTCATTAACATGCTCTTCTTTCAGATTTAAGAACTCCCTTTAACATTTCTTGTAGGACAGGTCTGTTGTTGATGAAATCCCTTAGCTTTGGTTTGTCTGGGAAGATCTTTATTTATCTTTCATGCTTAAAGCATATTTTCACCAGATATACTATTCCTGGGTAAAAGTTTTTTTCCTTCAGCCGTTTAAATATGTCATGCCATTCTCTCCTGGCCTGCCAGGTTTCTACTAAAAAGTCTGCTGCCAAACATATTGGAGCTGTTATTTGTTATTTGTTTCTTTTCTTTTGCTACTTTTAGGATCCTTCCTTTATCCTTGACCTTTGGGACTTTGATTATTAAATACCTTGAAGTAATCTTCTTTGGTTTAAATCTGCTTGCATTCTATAATCTTCTTGTACTTGAATGTTGATATCTTTCTCTAGATTTGGGAAGTTCTCCAGTATTATCCCTTTGAATAAACTTTCTACCCCCACCTCCTCTTTAAGGCCAATAACTCTTAGATTTGACCTTTTGAGGCTATTTTCCAGAGCCTGTAGTTGCGCTTTATTGTTTTTTGTTGTTTTTTCTTTTGCTTCCTCTGACTGTGTTTTTTGTTTTGTTTAGTTTTTTGTTTTCTTGAGATGGAGTTTCGCTCTTGTTGCCCAGGCTGAAGTGCAATGGCATGATCTCAGCTCACTGCAACCTTCACTTCCTTGGTTCAAACGATTCTCCTGCTTCAGCCTTTAAGTAGCTGGGATTACAGGTGCCCACCACCATGCCCAGCTAATTTTGTATTTTTAGTAGAAATGGGGTTTCTCCATGTTGGTCAGGCTGGTCTCGAACTCCCAACCTCAGGTGATCTGCCTGCCTCAGCCTCCCAAAGTGCTGGGATTACAGACATGAGCCACTGTTCCTGGTCTGACTGTGTATTTTTAAACAGCCTGTCTTGAAGCTCACTTTCTTCTGCTGCTTGATCAATTCTACCATTAAAAGACTCTGATGCATTCTTCAGTGTGTTGATTGCGTTTTTTCAGCTCCAGAATTTCTACTTGATTCTTTTTAATTATTTCATTCTCTTTGTTAAATTTATGTAATAGAATTCTGAATTCCTTCTGTATCTTATCTTGAATTTCTTTTGAGTTTCCTCAACACAGCTATTTTGAATTATCTGTCTGAATGGTCATGTACCTCTGTTTCTCCAGGATTAGTCCTTAGTGCCTTACTGAGTTTATTTGGTGAGGTCATATTTTCCAGGATGGTCTTGATGCTTGTAGATGTTCATCAATGTCTGGACACTGAAGAGTTAGGCCTTTATTGTAGTCTTCGCAGTACAGGCTTGTTTGTGCCTGTCCTTCTTGGCAAGGCTTTCCAGATACTCAAAGGGACCTAGGTTCTAAGCCCCCTAATGCTGTGGTTTTTGCAGACTCATAGAAGTATCATTTTGGTGATCTTGGATAAGATCTGAAATGATTCTCTTGATTACCAGGCAGAGACTCTTGTTCTCTTTCCTTACTTTCTCCTAAACAAATAGAGTCAGTGTCTCTCTCTCAATCTCTCGCTCTCTCTCTCTCTCTGCTGAGCCACCTGGAACTTGGGGTATGGTGATGCAAGCACCCCTGTGGCCACAGCCATTGAAACTGTGCTCTGTCAGACTTGAAGCCAGCACAGCACTGGGTCTTGCCCCACACACACTGTAAACACTTTCTGGCTACCACCTCTGTTGACTCAAGGCACTAGGGCTCAGTGATCAGCAGGTAGCAAAGCCAGCCAGGTCTGTGTCCTTCCCTTTAGGGCGGGAAGTTCCCCTAGGTCCTGGGTGGGTCCAGAAATGCTGTTTGAGAAGCAGAGATTGGAGTCGAAAACCTTTTAAGTTTACCTGATGTTCTATTCTACTGCAGGTAAGCTGGCTCTCAAACCACAATACAAAGTCCTTCCTAGTCTTCTCCTTACTGTTTTTCTAATGCCTGATTATGGATCCTAGACTTGTTTTTGTACTTGAATTTTTACAATAGTAGCAGGCCTAGGACTGTGTTCTCTGCCTTGGTCTTTGACAGTTCTCTTCCAAGAGATTGATGTCCAGTCCCTGAATCCCAAACAGGTCCTTTAGGCCCTGTGCCACCTAAATTTACAGCTCCAATGGGAATGAATAGCTTTGATGCTTTGCCTTACTTAGATTCCTTTATCCTACCTGCTACTGTCAATTGTGCAATGTGCAGACCAAATAGTACTGCTTCAAAGTGACTAATCATGCATACTGACAGCACTTAATAAGTAAAGAGAACATTATGCCCCCCAAGAAAAATAAATATTGGCAATAAGAAATCTATATAATAAGCGTTCATACGTTGTTTACACTGTGTTTTCTATAACATTTAAAACTATCAGTGGTGGGCAGAATATAACAAGTCAAACTTTATTAGTGACTCAGTAAAAGGTTCTATGCTTCAGTAGAGAAAAGAGTTATAAAAAATTCATCATGGAGCTATGTGGATTAGCAATACTATGAAAAAAATATTAGGAGTTACAGCTGACAGTATGAGTCAGACTGTAACATGCCAGTTAAAGAAATTAATGTGACATTAGCTGATTTAATACAAGTATGATATTTCACCTAGAAAGAGTGACAGGCCTCCACTCTTCAGTGCTAATTAGTATTGGGAATGATCTGGCTTCACAATTTCATAAAAGGCGGGCTAACTGGATTGTGCTGAATTTCCTTTAGTAAGGCTGTGCAAGGTCTTATTCATCAAAGAGACTGGGGGAGACTTGGCCTTCTGACTTACGAAAGATCTTAGCAACAATCAGGAACCCAGAGGTAGACACAGTAGTTGCCCAAAAGTACCAATAATGTAGTTTTTCAAATCAGAAATTAGGTGGCCTAGAGGCTTTTCTAGACTACTTTGATAGGGCATCTCACTGAATTTGCTTCCTAGCACAGCTCTATTCTTAGCCACATGGGAAAACTAAAGCATCTTAATTGACACTACAGGGGAATCACACATGATGCACTTGGCTTGGTGCTGGGGCTGACACTTGAGGAGAGGCAAAGACCAAATGGACCGTTTTCTGTGAACATAAGTGAGGAAAATGGTGAGTATTAAACCCCTGTCATGTGAGAAAAGATTAAATAAGAAAAGGTGCTGAGGAACGTGTATGACAAACATTTAAAAGGTAAAATAGTGATTAGAATTGTTATCTATCTCTAAGGAAGTAGAAATAATGCAGATGGGGAGATGGTAACAGGGACAGATATTGCAGCTGATGATAAGATTTCTAATAATTAGAGCTTTGCAGTATAAAACTGGCTGCTTACTAAGTAGCAAACTCTCTGTCCCTGGAGTCTTCAAGGCTAGCCTGATCTATACAAGGCATCTTCTTTTTTTTTTTTTTTTTTTTGAGACGGAGTCTCACTCTGTTGCCCAGGCTGGAGTGCAGGGGCGCGATCTTGGCTCACTGCAAGCTCCGCCTCCTGGGTTTACACAATTCTCCTGCCTCAGCCTCCCAATAGCTGGGACCACAGGCGCCCGCCACCACGCCCGGCTAATTTTTTGTATTTTTAGTAAAGACAGGGTCTCACCCTGTTAGCCAGGATGGTCTCAATCTCCTAACCTTGTGATCCACCTGCCTCAGCCTCCCAAAGTGCTGGGACTACAGGCGTGAGCCACCACACCCAGCCTATACAAGGTATCTTCTGAGTGTAGAAGATAGCAGTTTGAATTAGACGAGTTTTAAGATGCTAAGTAAATGAGAGAATCAGAATAGAAGTTTTGTATTAGTACTATGGTACAAGTTACCTGAATATATTCACTGCTTCCTGAATTTTTTCTGATAATGGGGGAAGTAACACTAATACAAGAGTGTGGGTTTATGGCTTTTTTAAAGTTAGAAATGACTCACAGTTCCAAATGACTCAAGGTAGGTGAAAGTTTTTGGAAGTGGTCTGACTACTCTGACATCTTCCCACAATATCAAGAAAAAGTATCCCCTGAAGATTTACAATGACATTCAAATAAGAAAAACTACAACATGAATATGAAATCAGAAGAAAAATAACTTTTTTTTAAAACGAAGATACTTTAGGTGGGAGCAAAGAATGAATGACAGAAAGGCAGCCATGGGGGAAGGAGCATCACGTAACAGTGGTAGGCAGAATAATGGCTCTGAAAGATGTCCATGTCTGAATCCCTGGAAACTAGGAATACATTACGTAACACATAGCAAAAGGAACTTTGCAGATGTAAGTCAAGGATCTTGCTATGAGGAGATCATACTGCATTATCCAGGTGGCCCACTATACTCAGAAAGGACATTATAAGTAGAAGAGGGAGAAAGGAGAGCCAGTGTCAGTGATGCAACACGAGGTATCTGACTGGCTGTCACTGGTTTTGGAGCTTGAAGTTAGCCATATGTATTAGTCTGTTTTCATGCCGCTCATAAAGACATACCCAAGACTGGGTAATTTATAAAGAAAAAGAAGTTTAATGGACTCACAGTCCCATGTTGCTGGGGAGGCCTCACAATCATGGCAGAAGAGCAAGGGACGTCTTACATGGCAGCAGGCAAGAGAGAACGAGAGCCAAGCAAAAGGGGAAACCCCTTATAAAACCATCAGATCTCATGAGATTTATTCCCTACCATGAGAACAGTATTGGGGAACTGCCCCCATAATTCAATTATCTCCCACAGGATCCCTCCCACAGCATAGGAATCACGGGAATTCTGGGAGCTACAGTCCAAGATGAGATTTGGGTGGGGACACAGCCAAATCATATCACCATGAATCAAGGACTGTGAGCAGCTCATAGAAGCTGGAAAAGGCAGGAAAACAGATTCTTCCCTAGAGCCTCCAGAAAGGAAAGCAGCCCTTTCTATATTTTCGACTGGTAGGGCCCATTCTGGACCTCCAGAACTGAAGAATAATACATTTGTGTTGTTTTTTTATGCCACTAAATGTGTGGTAATTTGTTACAGCAGCGTTAGGAAACAAATGCAATAATATACCAGCAGAAGGCATCACACAGGGAGGCATGGGCTAAGAGAAGGACATAAAATTGGACACCAGTGGGAAAATACACCTTATCATTTTGTACTGACTCAGTATTTTAAAGATGGTGATTCTTTCTCGTTTTTAAATGTAATACAATACCATTGCAATACAGTTTCCCTCCAACTCCAACTTAGTTCTTGACAAGTAAGCCTAAAGTGCATTTGGAAAAATAAATGTGTGACAATAGACAGGTTATCAATTTGAAAAGAGAAAGGTAATGGAGGGAGTGGAGATCAACCTTTATCAGATATTTATGTAAACTACAAATGGTTCTGGTACAATAATTGAAAGGCAAGATAACAGAAAAAATACTTTAAAAGAAGGTTCTGATGCTTGCAGAAACTTATTACATTATAAAGGTGGTATTTCAAATCAGTAAGAAAACCACGGGTTATATAATAATTGTCAGTGAGGTAACCAACTAGTCATTTAGAGAGAAATAATAAACTTGAATTACTACTGCATTCCTTATATCAAATTAATTCCTGATAAAGATTTAAACAATTAGCAAATATATTTGTTATAATAATCTTGAAATAAGAATAACTTTTGACCAGAAGCTACAACCAGACACATAACCAAGGTTGTACAGAAAAAGATTGATAAATTTGAATATATACTACTATTAAATTTGTATAAAGAAACTAAAATATCATAAAGATCAAGAGACAAAAAATTTGGGAAAATTCTTTGACAAATATAACAAAGGGTTAATCTCTTTAATATATATAAAGATAATAATAAATTGAGATGAAAGAGACCATCAACCTAAGAGAAAAAAATGAGCAAAGATTACAGGCAGTTGTAAAAATAGCTAGAAATTTCTTACATGAAAAGATGCTCAACTTCATTTATAATTAAATATATGTACATGAAAGCAAGATAACACACCATTCTTGATCAAATTGCTGTAGATAATACACAGTGTTAGTGAGGGTTTGAAAAAAATGGGCACTTTATATAAAAGTTAAAAGACTAACCATCTGTTAGTCAAAGTGTGAATTGATGTAAACCTCTTTCTGGCTAATTTGTCATTTGTTACAGGAGATCGTTAGAAAGCAGATCTTTAGACAGCATGGACTTTAGAACTTTTGCCATGTTAAAATTTTTCCCTCACCTCGGAACAGGTGGGATTGATAAACTACCATTACTATTTCTAAAACATGGTACTGTAAAGCACCATTTACAGGCATTGCATAATTATTACTCTATCTAAAAAATGCTAAATGCTGGATATGCTGTATGTTTCTATTAAATAATAAAATGGGAGTGTGGGTGGAGGGAAGCCTGCCTCTTGGTGTCATGCATGAGAAAAACTAATCAGATCTCACCAATATCAATCGTCTGAGCTGTGAATGGGTGTCGGGATAGCATCCCTCTTTAGAAGTTACTGATGAAACCCCATGAAGCTTGATTCTTAGATAAGCCTTGCTTGGTCAGCCACTTCAAAATTGGAGGTACCAATTTAACATTTGAAAACAAAAAATCTCAACAACAAAGTTCTGAGAAACCAGTGTGGGTACTACCTAAGAATGTTACTTTGGGTATGATATGGGTTAAACTATGTCCTCCCAAAATTCACGTGTCAAAGTCCTAACCCCAGTACATAAGAATGTGACATTATTTAGAAATAGGGTCACTGCAGATGCAATTAGTTAAATGGAGATGAGGTTATTAGGGTGGACCCCAATCCAATGACAAGTGTCGTTATAAAAAGAAGAAATCTGGAGACAGACTTGTACACAGGTATAACATCATATGAAGATTGGAGTTATGCTGCCACAAGCCAAGAAATGCTAAACATTGTCAGAAAACCAACAGGAATGGAACAAATTCTCTCTCACAGACCTCAGAAGGAACCAGTCCTGCTGACACCTTAATTTTGAACTTCTAGCCTTTAGAACTGTGAGACAATAAATTTCTGTTAAGGTATGCAGTTTGTAGTACTTTCTTATGGAAACCCTAGCAAGCCAATATAGAGTTAAAAAAAACAGTAAAAGGTACTCGTTGAAAAACTTTTGATTAATCTCTTAGCATTTTAACATATTTACTCCTTGGGAAAAAAATAACAATTAGGGACTATCAAAAAAGGGGATTATCTTTCTTCTTGATAAAATTCCCAAAAGTGTAATAGGTATCAAAATTTTAAAATCACGTACCCTTTAATAAAATAAATAAGTATTGTTGCTGTAAACAGGCAATATAGTACAATATAGAGGTCTACAGACTTTAGACTGCACAAAGTCCACCTGGATCACTTGTTAGTAATCCGGATTTGTGGCTCTCCCCGGAATTCTTACTAAATCGGAATCTCTGGTGGTAGCCATGGAGAGTTATATCTTACAATTATCCCAGGTCATGTTGATGCAAATTGTTGGTGAAATATACTTGGAAAATACAGGAAGAGTAGTTCAAGAGCATGAGCCCTTTAACTGGAGTCAGAATCCCAACTCTGCCTTTTTTAACAAAGTTGCCTTGGCAAAGTCTTACAGTTTCCTCATCTGCAAAATTAGAATAGTAATAGTATCTGCTTCAAGGTTTTGTTGGTAGTTGTGAATGAAATAATAAAATCAATAAATAACTTTGATTAAAATGTATCAAACCACCAATGACATTCTTAACATAATGAGAAAAAAACTATTTTAAAATTCATATGGGACCAAAAAAAAAAAAATGGCCCAAATAGCCAAGGCAATTCTAAGCATAAAGAACAAAGTTGGAAGCATCACATTACCTGACTTCAAGCTATATACTACAAGGCTACAGTAACCAAAACAGCATGGTACTGGTGCTACAGTAGACACATAGACAAGCAGAACAGAGTAGAGAGCTCAGAAATAAAGCCACATGTCTACAACCATTTGATCTTCGCCAAACCTGACAAAAACAAGCAACGGGAAAAGTACTCCCTATTCAATAAATGGTGCTGGGATAACTGGCTAGCCATATGCAGAAAATTGAAACTGGACCCCTTCCTTACACCATATACAAAAAATCAACTCAAGAAGGATTAAAGACTTAAATATAAAACCTAAATCCATAAAAACCCTGGAAGAAAACCTAGGAAATACCACTCTGGACATAGAACTAGACAAAGATTTCCTGATGAAGATGCCAAAAACAATTGCAACAAAACCAAAAATTGACAAACGGGACCTAATTAAACTAAAGAGCTTCTGCACAGCCAAAAAACAGAACAAAAACAAAAACAAAAAAAAAAACAAAAAAAAAACCATCAACAGAGTAAACAGACAACCTACAGAATGGGAGAAAATATTTGCAAAGTATGCATCTGACAAAGGTCTAATCCCAAATCTATAAAAAACTTTTAAAAAATTACAAGCAAAAAAACCAAACAACCCCATTAAAAATGAGGAACATAACATGAATAAAATGATTCATTTCAAAAAGATGATTCATTTCATAAAGCACTTAGTCTAGTGTCTAAAAGCCTAAGTGATCAATCAATGTAGCCATTATTACTACTCAGTAATTTTTAAAATGAGATAAATGTGCAAGTACTGATATGTTAAGCTAAAACAATAAACAAAGGGAAGAATAATATGTGATGTATGTTCATATCTGTGTGAAAAAAGTATGCACTCAAATTATATATTCCTGGAATATTTCTAGAAGATATTATTAGAAACATTTGGTGTTTAACACTGGGAAATGAGATCATATTCTCTTTTGCTTTGCTTGATTTAAAAAAATTATATGTACATGTGATTTTCAGGGAAAAAATATAGTTTGTGAATCTACCACCTGAGGAAAGAGATGATACCATTTCAAATACAAATGAGCTTTGATTTTTATTTCTGGCACTACTGTGTAGAAATTTGCATACCCCAGGTGAAATTGGAAATGGTGAAATCCCAAG
This sequence comes from Homo sapiens, assembly GCF_000001405.40. Classification (NCBI taxonomy): domain Eukaryota; kingdom Metazoa; phylum Chordata; class Mammalia; order Primates; family Hominidae; genus Homo; species Homo sapiens. The sequence goes on from NC_000012.12 coordinate 99,529,103, forward strand.
AATAATCTCTGTAATGAATCATACAAATGCAACTGAAAACATGCCAAATGTCAGGTAAAACTAAATAGGAACCACCTTTGTACAAATCCTCAAAAAAAGACCTAGATGATCTAGATCAGAAGTCAACAAGAAGTCAAAAGAAGTGGAATGTAGTTCACCAATAAGAAGATGACAAAGAGGAGAATGTTCACCTAGACTCGAACCCTTGAACCATTTATCTTTCTCTTGTTCTATCATGCTTACTGTTTCTGTAAAGAAGCCATCAACAAGTTGGGCGTATTAGCTCACACCTGTAATCCCAGCACTTTGGGAGGCTGAGATGGGCCGATCAGCTGAGGTCTGGAGTTCAAGACCAGCCTGGCCAACATGGTGAAATGCTGTCTCTACTAAAAATACAAAAATGAGCAGGGCATGGTGGCGTGTGCCTGTAATACCAGCTACTTGGGAGGCTGAGGGAGGAGAATCACTTGAACCTGGGAGGCAGAGGTTGCAGTGAGCAAAGATTGCACCACTGCACACCAGCCTGGTGACACAGCAAGACTCTGTTTCCAGGAAAAAAATAAAAGAAGAAGTAGTCATCAACTTCTGTAAGCTTTTCACTTCCTAATTACCCTTAAATCCACACTATTTTTCTACGTCCATAATCACTAAGCTAGTTCAAGCTTCATCAGCTCATACCTATGTTACATATTTAAATAATCTCCAAACTCCCATCTAATTTAGCTCCATTTTAACCAGGAGTTCCCATCATTCTGAATACTAAAACATTTTTTTCGAAGTAAAAATTTTTACAGATTCTCTAAGTGATAATATTAGGATTAATTTAGGAATGTAGACAGTATAATAAATGACTTTCTTATTTACTCTCTAAATTATAGATAAGAGTCCAGGGTTCAAGAAACCAACCAGAGATTTTAAACATTTAGGCTTTGCAGGCCACATGGTCTCTGTTGTAACTACTCAGTATTGGTGTTGTAGCACAGAAGCAGCCACGTACAATATGTAAATAGAAAAGCTTGTCCAGATTTGGCCTGCAGTGAGTCAGAACTGTCCTAGTGACCACAGATTGCCAGACTGTGGCAAAGAGGTCATGCAAAAGAGTTTAAAACATCAGTAAGGCTAGTGATGAAGCAGATACTGGTTTAGGCCCTTGGCAGTGTAGGCTTCCTACTCCTACACTCTAGAACTACATAGACTGGCATCAGGTCTCCCAAGCGAGTTCTTTATTGCTAGGCTTACCTTACATACTTTCTGCAGGTGAGAAGATCACAAAGAGAATAAGTGACACAAGCTCAGTTTCTGCTCCCAAGTTTAGGAGTCAGTTAACTTCCCTGAGAAAAGAACAGGAACAGAGAGAAGCCCAGTCACACTTATCCATAACTCTCCACGTGAAAATACAAAGTCAGGGGAAAGAATCTCACTTTCCTTGCCCAACTGCAACAGGTAAGTTGTACCACTGTATTAAAAAAATCAGCAAAAAGCAAAAGTGATTTTCCATTTTTATTAATCACAACAAAACTTATGCAAATTTTAAAATAATAAATATGGACATGGATATGTAAAACCTACCATTTATTTAATCTACAGACAGAGGTTAGTATCTGTATGGATTTTCAAGCCCTTTTCAGCAACCCCATAGTGGCCCACTTGAGATCCACAGCTTCATACCACTTCTAAAAGGTAGGGACTATTATAACCCTCACAGTATAGTACTGTCAGAGGACAATCATGATCATCCAATAAATATTTGTTGAATAAAAATATGAATTTTATACTAATTTATTCTTTAAAGCTTTCAAAGCCTCTCCAAGGATACCTTTTAATACAAACCCTCTCTTCCCATATGCCTGATATACTCAGTAGCCTCCATCCTGAATGACATATTCCTGCCTCTGTCTTCTTGCTTATGTTCTCCTTATTCCCTCTGAGTAGCAGGGCCCTCCCAGGCCTATAGAAATTCTCCCTTTCCTTCATAGGCAATCATAAATTCTACTTAGTCCAGTAAGAATTTTGTGGCTACACTTGACTACATAGCTTGCTTTCTTCTCTGAACCTAAAAACAACAGTAATATTCTGTTTGATATTAAATCAGTATCTCATGACACATTAGCTTTTCAGGACTGCATTTATAATCAATATTTTTATTGTTAGCTACTTTTGTTGTTGTTGTAGTATACATTTTTATTTTTACTTTTTATTTCAATAGCTTTAGGAATACAAGTGTTTTTTGGTTACATGGATAAATTATAGGAACCTCCCAACTCTCCCCCCTTCTGAGTCTCCAGTGTCAACTACACCACACAGTACACCTTTGTGTACCTATAACTTAGCTTCCAATTATAAGTAGGAATATGTGGTATTTGGTTTTCTATTTCCAAGTTACTTCACTTAGGATAATGGCTTCCAGTTCCATACAAGGTGCTGCAAAAGACATAATTTCATTCTTTCTTATGGCTGAGTAGCATTCCATGGTATATATACCACATTTTCTTTATCCGGTCATCAGTTGATGGGCACTGAGATTGATTCCGTATCTTTGCAATTGTGAATTGTGTTGCAATTAACATATGAGTACAATTGTCTTTCTAATAACTTCCTTTTCTTTGAGGAAATACCCAGTAGTTGGATTGTTCAATAGATGGTAGATGTGCTTTTAGTTCTCTGAAAAGTTGCCACACTGTTTTCCATAGAGGTTTTACTAATTCACATTCCCACCAACAGTTTATAAGCATTCTCTTTTCTCCGCATCTGAACCAACATCTATTGTTTTTTGACTTTTTGAAAATGGCCATTCTGACTAGGGTGATCTTGTAGCTCACTGTGGTTTTAATTTGCATTTCTCTGATGATTAGTGATATCGAGCATGTGTTTGTTGGCCATTTGTATGTCTTCTTTTGAAAAATATCTGTTCATATTGCTTGTCTACTTTGTAACGGGATTGTTTTTTTTTTTCTTGCTGATTTGTTTGAGTTCCTTATAGATTCTGCATATTAGTGCTTTGTCAGATATACAGTTTGTGGATATTTTCTCCCATTCTGTAGGTTGTCTGTTTACTTTGTGGATTATTTCTTTTGCAGTGCAGAAGCTTTTTCATTTAATTCAATCACATTTATTTTTGTTTTGTTGGATTTGCTTTTGGGGTCTGTGCCCTAAATTATTTGCCGAAGGCAATATCCAGAAGAGTTTTCCTAAGTTTTCTTCTACAATTTTTATGGTTTCAGGTCTTACATTTAAGGTTTTTTTGTTGTTGTTGTTGTTTGCTTGTTTGTTTGTTTTTGAGACGGAGTCTCGCTCTGTCGCCAGGCTGGAGTGCAGTGGCCCGATCTCGGCTCCCTGCAAGCTCCGCCTCCCAGGTTCACGCCATTCTCCTGCCTCAGCCTCCCGAATAGCTGGGACTACAGGCGCCTGCCACCCAACCTGGCTAATTTTTTGCATTTTTAGTACAGACGGGGTTTCATCGTGTTAGCCAGGATGGTCTCAATCTCCTGACCTCGTGAGCCACCCACCTCGGCCTCCCAAAGTGCTGGGATTACAGGCGTGAGCCACCACGCCTGGTCACATTTAAGTTTTTAATTAATCTTGAGTTAATTTTTATACATGGTGAGAGATAGGAATCCAGTTTTCATTCTTCTATACGTGGCTATTCCATTTTCTCAGCACCATTTATTAAATAGGATGTCCTTTCCCCAGTGCATGTTTTTGTCTGCTTAGTCAAAGATCAGTTGGTTGTAGGTATTTTGCTTTGTTTCTGGGTTCTCAATTCTGTTACATTTGTCTCTGTGCCTATTTTATACCAGTACCATGTTATTTTGGTTACTATTATAGCCCTGTAGTATAACATGAAGTCAGGTCATGTGATGCATCTAGATTTGTTCTTTTTCCTTAGGACTGCTTTTGCTAGTTAGGCTTTTTTGGTTGGTTCCTTGTGAATTTTTGGATTGTTTCTTCTAATTCTGTGAAGAATGACATTGGTATTTTGATAGGAATTGTATTGAATCTGTAGATTGCTTTGAGCAGTATGGTCATTTTCACAATATTGATTCTTCCAATCCATAAGAATAGGATGTTTTTCCATTTGTTTGTGTCATCTATGACTTCTTTCATTGGTGTTTTGTAGTTCTCCTTGGAGAGACCTTTCACATCCTTGGTTAAGTGTATTAGGTATTTTATTAATATTATATTATTTTGCAGCTATTGTAAATGGGATTGAGTTCTTCATTTCATTTTCAGCTTGGTCATTGTTGGTGTATAGCAGTGCTACTGATTAGTGTTTATGTTGATTTTGTAATCTGAGACTTTAGTGAATTCATCTATCAGATCTAGGAGTCTTTTGGAGGAGTCTTTGGGGTTTTCAAGGTATAAGATCATATCATCAGCAAAAGAAGATAGTTTGGCTTCCTCTTTTCCAATTTGGATGTTCTTTCTTTCTCTTGCCTGATTGCTCTGGCTAAGACTTCCAGTACTGTGCTGAATAGAAGTGATGAAAGTGGGCATCCTTGTCTTGTTCCAGCCTTCAGGGAGAATGCTTTCAACTTTTCCCCATTCAGTATGATGTTGGCTGTGGGTTTATCATATATGGCTCTTATCATTTTGAGGTATTTTAGCTACTTTTTAGATTCTACCCTCCCAGTGAGCTAGTGCTCCATTTGGTGTTTCATTTGTGTGTGTGTGCACGCTTCTATTTTATGCTTCACAGAAATCCATACAATTCCTACACAGAGTAGACTTTCAAAATATTGAATTATTTATGTTAAATGACTCAATTAATTAACAAAAGAATGGATAAATAAATAACATAAATGACCAATATTAATAAAAATTAAGTCTTAAAAATATGGAGAAAAACTTGAATGGCCTCCCAAAACCTTCCAATCCCTGTGCTATTTTAACAGAAACATTAATTATTTTTAAAAAACCCTCTTTGTAGTCATTTACTTCACAGAGACAAGAAATATGGTAACATAAAGGTAAATAATATAAATCTGTGACTTGAATCCTTGAAAAATCTGGAACAACAAAAATATTGACAAATAATATCATTGTTTAAAATACTGAAGAAGAATATATTGCAATGACAATATGAAAATATGTTTTGGTATCTCCAGTCTCAGTCTTGTTAGAAGTATGTTCAGAAGTGAACAACTGAATGAGAAGTGAAGTGCTCATAGGGGAAGGATAAGTCCAGAAATCTGAATTTAGTCCCACATAGCAATGAATGTTTCTCAATTATACAAATTACAGTCACCACTTCAGTGATAATCATGTCATTTGCCATTTATTGTTTTCACTCATCAAGGGATAAAGAAAAATAAAAGATGAAAGTTACTTGAAAAATAATGATGAATCCATATGCTGAGAGAAAAGCATTGTGTTCTAAATGACAACCAACACCTGAACCCAGGACTCACTTATTTGGTTAATTAATATACATTCGAGGCTGTGAAATTGTCATTTCTACACATAATAATTAAACACCATTAATGGAAACACCTAAAATAACTACATTTGCTTTCTCAGAGAATTACACATTAGGAAAGTAAGTTAATGTGATAAACATTTTACAATATATTTAGACTTTTAGGAAACTTTTTTTTTCTTTTTTCTTTTCTTTTTTTTTTTTTTTTTGAGATGGAGTCTCACTCTCTCACCCAGGCTGGGGTGCAGTGGCATTATTTCGGCTCACTGCAAGCTCCACCTCCCGGGTTTACCCCATTCTCCTGCCTCAGCCTCCCGAGTAGCTGGGACTACAGGCACCTGCCACCACACCCGGCTGATTTTTTCTATTTTTAGTAGAGACGGGGTTTCACCATGTTAGCCAGGATGGTCTCGATCTCCTGACCTCGTGATCTGACCACCTCGGCCTCCCAAAGTGCTGGGATTACAGGCATGAGCCACCGCGCCCGGCCCTTTTTAAAAAATTAACGTGATTTAGGAGGCCACTTGAAGATATTCAGCTTTTGATGGCATAAAATTCTGGCTTTAATAACCAACCACTAGTTATTTAATATGATTGTGTACCTGCAAAAAGCTTAAGAAACTTTTAGCTAAATGAAGGAATTCTTTAAGAAGACAAAATAAGAATTAGTCACATATCTGCTTTTCCACTATTCTTGTTACCATTACTCTACCAGCATCCCTGCAAAGCAGATCAGCAATATTTGTGTGTTTTGAAACTCCTCTGGTTTCCTGGCTTCTAAGATCCAGTCCATCACCAAGTCCCATGATTGGTCCACTCTTGTTGTCCCACGTCCATGTTAAACTAGGTTTCAGCATCACACATGCAGATTAATGTCACTGTCTCTGAACTCATCTCCCTTCTTGGACAGCTTCACTTCATCCTATATACCACCATTAGAAGAATCTTTGAACACAATTATTCTCAAATTATTCCTAGCCCAAAAACTCAAATACTTTCTAAATAAATTTTATTCAAATCAAAACTCTCTAGCATAGCGCTGTATATCCCAACATGCCAATTTCACCTTCTTTATTTCATTTTCCATTCAACTGTATGCCAAGGCTCTACTTTGAGCTCATCTGCTTGTTAGATCAGCTTAACACTGAATTTGAACATGCCTTACCTCACAATTCTACTTCTTCAAGTTCTTCACCTATTTTAAAAGCCAGTGAAGAAGCACTTACAGAGGTAGAATAAGAATCTCCAGAACTCCACTCCTTCATAAAAGGCACAGGAACACTCAAAAAGTTGTCAAAATAAACTTTAGCACTTAACCAAAGGTTTGCAATAATCCATCAAGGATTTATTCAAGAAAATCATCAGAATTTTTGTGAAAACAGTTAACATTGTGTATTTAAATTTGCTCTAATCCCATTTCCATCTCCCCAGCTCCACAACAGTCTCACAATCACTCTTAAAACCAACATATACTAGAGGGCGTTAAATGGGTTTGGAGCTCTACAAACTGTCTTGCACTCACAGAGAATTCATATTTGATGTATGCAGCAGCTCCCTGGAAAAGCTCCATTTATAGGACATGTCTTTATTTGACCTGATACAGAACTCACTCAGTGGGAAAGGCTCTGTTCTTAAGATGTTAGTCAAAATCAATCCTGACCCATAGAATGTACATCAAGAATGAACCCTAATGCAAACTATGAACTGAGGGTGATGATGATGTGTCAATGTAGGTTCATCAATTGTAACAAATGTAGCACTCTGGTGGGGATGTTGATAATGGGGGAAGCTACACATATGTATGGGGGCAAGGGAGATATGGGAAATCTCTGTACTTTCCTCTTAATTTTGCTATGAACCTAAAACTGCTCTAAAAAATTAGTCTTTATTATAAACAAAACTATGTATTTTTCTACAATCAAATTTCTTCACAGCTATATGTTCTTAGCTCCTTTCATGCTTTTATGTGTTTGTATACCTTTTGTGTTCCAGTGGTTGGGAATAGTTTTGTGAAAATAAAAAATATTTCCATAAAGAAAAAAAGCTAGAAAAGTTGTTGCTATTAGACCTACTCTATAAGAAATATGAAATTTTTATTTTAATTTAAATTTTGTGTAGGTACACAGTAGGTGTATGTATTTATAGGGTACATGGGATGTTTTGATACAGGCATGCAATATGAAATAAGCACATTATGAAGAACGGGGTATCCAATCCCTCAAGCATTTACCCATTGAGTTTCAAACACTCCAATCACACTCTTTATTTTTAAATGTAGAGTTAAGTTATAATTTATTATAGTCACCCTGTTGTGCTATCAAATAGGTCTTACTCATTTTTTCTAAGTACTTTTGTACCCATTAACCCTCCCCACCTTAACCACAAACCCCACACTACCATTCCCAGCCTCTGGTAACCATCCTCCAACTCTCTATCTCCATGAGTTTGTTTTGCTTTTTAGATCCCACAAATAAACAAAAACATTTGAAGTTTGTCTTTCTGTGCCTGGCCAATTTCACTTAACATAAAGATCTCCAGTTCCATCCATGTTGTTGCAAATGACTTGTCTAGATCTCATTATTTTTATGGCTGGATAGTACTCCATTGCGTATAAGTACCACATTTTCTTTATCCATTCATCTGTTGATGGACGCTTTGGTTGCTTCCAAATCTTAGCTATTGTAAACAGTGCTACAATAAACATAGGAGTGCAGATATCTCTTCAACATACTGATTTCCTTTTCTTTGGGTATATATCCAGCAGTGGGATCGCTGGACCATATGGTAGTTCTATTTTTAGTTTTTTGAGGAACCTCCATATTATCCTCCATAATGGTTGTACTAATTTACATTCCCACTAACAGTGTATAAGGTTTTCCTTTTTCTCTACATCCTCACCAGCACTTGTTATTGCCTGTCTTCTGAATTAAGCCATTTTAACTGGGTAAGATGATAGCTCATTGCAGTTTTCATTTATATTTCTCCAATGATCAATGATGTTGAACACCTTTTCATACGCCTGTTTTCCAGTTGTGTATGTCTTCTTGTGAGAAATGTATATTCAAATCTTTTGCTCATCTTTTGGCAAAGTTATTTTCCTATAGAGTTGTTCGCACACTCTATATATTCTGGTTATTAATCCCTTGTCAAATGAGTAGTTTGCAAATATTTTCTTCCATTCTGTGGGTTGTCCTTTCACTTTATTGATTGTATCCTCTGCTGTGCAGAAGCTTTTTAACTTGATGTAATCCCATTTTTCCATTTTTGCTGTGGTTGTCTGTGCTTATGGTATATTGCTCAAGAAATTTTTGCCCAGACCAATGTCCTGGAGAATTTCCCCAAAGTTTTCTTATAGTAGTTTCATGGTTTGAGGGATTTGATTTAAGTCTTAATTCATTTTTATTTGATTTTTGTAATTAATGACAAATAGGGGTCTTGTTTCATTATTCTGCATATAGATATCCAGTTTTCCCAGTACCATTTATTGAAGAGACTGTCTTTTCCCCAGTGTATGTTCTTGGCACTTTTGTCAAAAATGAGTTCACTCTAGGTGTGTTTATTTGTTTCTGTGTTCTCTATTCTTTTCCATTGGTCTATGTATATATTTTTATGACAGTGTCATACTGTTTTGGTTATTGTAGCTTTGTAGTATAATTTGAAGTCAGGTAATGTGATTCCTCCAGTTTTGTTCTTTTTGCTTAGGATAGCTTTGGCTATTCTGGTTTTTTTGTGGTTCCATATACATTTTTGGATTATCTTTTCCTATTTCTGTGAAGAATGTTATTGGTATTTTGATAGGGATTTCATTGAATCTGTACATTTCTTTGGGTAGTACAAACATTTTAATAATATTGAGTCTTCCAATCCATGAACACGGAATGTCTTTCCATTTTTCTGTGTCCTCTTCAATTTCTGTGTCAATGGTTTATAGTTTTCATCATAGAGATCATTCACTTCTTTTCTTAATTCATTTGTTTTTAATCTTATGTGTGGCTATTGTAAATGGGATATTTTTATTTCTTTGTCACATTGTTCACTATTGGCACACAGAAATGCTACTGATTTTTGTATGTTAATTTTGTATCCTGCTACTTTACCAAATTTACTAGTTCTAATAGTTTTCTTGTGGAGCCTTTAGGTTTTTCTAAAATCATATCACCTGCAAACAAGGATAATTTGACTTACACCTTTCCAATATGGAGGCCCTTTATATCTTTCTGTTGTCTGATTGCTCTTGCTAGGACTTCCAGTACTACGTTGAATAATAGTGGTGACAGTGGGCATCCTTGTCATGTTCCAGATTTTAGAGAAAAGGCTTTCAGTTTTTCTCCATTCAATGTGCTACTAGCTATGGGTCTTTCATATATGGCTTTAATTATGTTGAGGTATGTTCCTTCTATTCTCAGTTTTTGAGGGTATTTTATCACGAAGAGATGTTGAATTTTATCAAATGCTTTTTCAGCATCAATCGAAATGGTCATATGGTTTTTATCCTTCATTCTGTTGATATGATATATCACATTGATTTGTGTACGTTGAATCATCCTTGCATCCCAGGGATAAATTTCACTTGATCATGATGAATGATAGAAATACTAAATTATTAAAGGGAGGCTTTCTGGCTGAAAAGACAGTAAACAGTAATGCAAATTCACACTAAAAAACGTAAAAAGTGTGGGTAAAGGTAAATATAAGATAGTATAAATGTACTTTTATTTATACTCTTTTCACCACCCTTATGCCTTAAAAAATCAACTGCATAAAGCAATAATTACAAATCTCTGTTGATGTGCTTATATGAAGATGTAATTTGTACAAAAGCAACAATACAAATAAGGGAGGAGGAAATATTGGGGCAAAGTTTTTTTGTATATTATTGAAACAAACTGTTGATATTAATTCAAAATAGATTATTTTAAGTTAAAAAATCAATTATAACCTCTAGAATACCAACTAAAAAATAACTCTTAAAAATATGTATGAAAAACATAAAGGAAATTAAAAGAATAAACTAGAAAATATCTATTTAATACAAAGGAAGGCAGTAATGGAGGTATAGAGGGACAATAATGATATAAGAAATATTAGAAACAAATAGCAAGATGGCAGGCATAAATACTACCTTATCAACAATTACATTAAATGTAAGTAGATTCAACACTCCAAACAAAGAGATGAGCAGAATGGACTCTTCTGTTTTTGTTTGTTTTAGGTTTTGCTTTTTTGTTTTCTTATAGACAGGGCCTTGCTGTGTTGCCCAGGCTGGTTTCAAATTCCTGGCCTCAAGGGATCCTTCTGCCTCACTCTGCCTGCCACAAAATGCTGAGATTACAGACAAGCCACTGAGCCAAGCCAGATAAATTTTGTTCAAAAAATGATCCACATGTTGTCCATAAAAGATACACTTAATATTCAAAGACATTAATAGGTTGAAAGTAAAAATATGAAAAAAAGATACATCATGCAAATAACAACCAAAAGATAACTTCAGTGACTATACTAATATTGAACAAATAGACTTTGAGACAAAACTTGTCACTAGAGACAAAAAAAAAGACATTTTATAAAGATAAAACAGTCAGTCAGGAAGACACAACAAGCATAAACATATATACACCTAAAAATAGGGCCTCCAAAACATGAAACAAAAAGTAACAGAATTGAAGGGAGAAATAGACAATTAAAAAATAATAGTTGGAGACTTCAATATCACATTTTCAATAATGAATAGAACAATTAGGCAGAACATCAACCAGCAAACAGAAGACTTAAATAATACCATAAGCCAAGTAGACCTAACAGACATCTATAGACTACTCTACCAAACAACAGCAGAATGTGCGTTCTTCTTAAGTACACGTGAAACATCCTGCAGAATAGACCATGCAATATGAGACTTGCCATAAACAAGTCTCAATACATTTTAAATGTTTTATGTCATACAAGGTATGTTCTCTGACCATAATAGAAAAAAATTAGAAAACAATAAAAATGAAAATTGAGAAATTCATGAATATGTGGAAATAGTCAACATGCTCCTTAATTAGCAATGTGCCAAAGAAGAATTCTGAAGGGATATTAAAAATAATTTCAAATGAATGAAGACAAAAACACAACATACCAAAGCTTATGGAATGCCGCAGTGCTTAGAGAGAAATTTATAGCTGTAAGCCTATTTTTAAAAAGACATAAGTCAATTATAACCTTTAGTATTAAGAAACTAGAAAGAAATATAAATTGAAAGCAAGCAGAAAAGAGGAAATAATAAGAGCAAAAATAAATGCAAATAAAGAATAGAAAAACAATAAAGAAATTCAAAGAAATGTAAGTTGGTTCTTTGAAAAAAAATACAATTGACAAAATTTCAGGTAGACTGAACAAAAAAAAAGAGAGAGAAGACTCAAATTACTAAAATCAGGAATGAAAGAGAAGCTATCACTACCAACTTTACAGAAATAAAAAAGTTTATAAGGAATACTATGAATAACTCCATGCCAACAAAACAGATAGGCTAGCTGAAATAAACAAAATCCTACCAAAACTGACTTAAGAAAAAATAAAAATATCTGCGTAGACCTATAACAAGTAAGAGATTGAATTTGTAATTTCAAAACTTTCCATATATTACGGCCAGGCTCAGATGGCTTCAAAGGTGAATTAAACCAAACATTTAAAGAAGACAATAACAATCCCTCACAAATGCTTCTTTAAAAAAAACAAACAAACAAAAAACACAAAAAAGGAAACACTTTCAAATTCATTTTAGGAATCTTGTATTACACTAATATCAAAACCATATAAACACATCACAAGAAAAGTAGACATCAACATCCCTTATAAATGTAGACACAACAACCTTCCACAAAATGCTGGCAAACTAAATGCAACAACATACAAAATAATTATATATCATGACCAAGTGCCTCAGGAATACTTGGCTGGTTCAATATATGAAAAATCAACCAATATCATACACTATATTAATAGAATAAAGGACAAAATCCACAAAATCATCTCAACAGACACAGAGAGTGCATTTGACAAAATGTAACATGCTTCTGGTCGGGCATGGTGGCTCACATCTATAATCCCAGCACTTTGGGAGGTGAGTGAATCACCTGAGGTCAGGAGCTCGAGACCAGCCTGGCCAACATGGTGAAACCCCATCTCTACTAAAAATACAAAAATTATCTGGGTGTGGTGGCAGACACCTGTAATCACAGCTACTTGGGAGGCTGAGGCAGAAGAACCACTTGAACCTGCGGAGCGGAGGTTGCAGTGAGCCGAGATCATGCCACTGCACTCCAGCCTGGCAACAGAGCGAGACTCCGTCTAAAAAAAAAAAAGAGTAACATGCTTCCATGATAAAAGCACTCAACAAACTAGAAAGAATGAGAATTCTCTAAATCTGATAAAGGCGTCTATGAAAAACCTACAGCTAAGATTCTATTTAATGGTGAAAAACTGAATATTTCCCCCTAAGATCAGAAACAAGAAATGGATGTCACTCACTATTTCCATTCAACATTGTACTGAAGGTTCTAGTCAGGGCAATAGATAGGAAAAACAAACAGCATCCAGATTGGAAAGAAAGAAGTAAAACTATCTTAATTTGTAGATGACATGAACTTACATATGTAGAACAATCCTAAAGAAGCCACAAACTTTATTTGAAATAATGGACAAGTTCAGCAAGTTTGCAGATACAAGGACAATACTAAAAAAACCAATTGTATTTCTATATGGTAGTAATGGGAAATGCAAAATTAAATTTAAATAAAATTTCATTTACAATAGAATAAAATAAATTACTTAGACATGAACTTCACAAAAAAAATCTAAGATTTGTACACTAAAAATTTAAAAACATAGTTGAAATAAATTAAAGAAGGCATAAATAAGTGGTAAGACATTGCATGGTCATGGGTTAGAAGACACAATATTTTTTAAATGGCAATAATCTCCACCAAATTGATCAACAGGTTCATCAAAATCCCTATAAAAAAAATCCGTGGTGCTTTTTTTCACAGAAATTGAAAAGCTGGTTCTAACATTTATTTATATGGAAACAGAAGGAACTCAGAATAGCCAAAAAATTTTGAAAACTTTGAACAAAGTGGGAGGAGTCACTCTTCCCAATTTCAAAGACTACTAAAAAGCTACAATAATAAAGACAGTGTGGTACAGCATAAGAATAGTCATATAGATCAATAGAAAAAATAGTTTTTTCAACAAATGGTGCTGGGATAACTGGATATCTATCCACATGCAAAAGAATGAAGTTGAATACCTACCTCATATAATGTACAAAAATGAACTCAAAATGAATCAAACGCCTAAACGAAAGGGTAAACTCTACAAAACTCTTGGGGAAGAAGTATAGATAAATCTTCATGACCTTGGATAGGGTAATGGTTTCTTAGATATAACACCAAAATAACAAGTAACAAAAGAAATAAATAAACTGAATTTTGTCAAAATTTAAAACTTTTATGCTTCAAAGGACATCAAGAAAGTAAAAAGACATTCACAGACTAGGAGAACGTATTTAAAAATCATATATTTGATATGGGACTTGTATTCAGACCATATGAAGAACTCATAATTAACAATAAAAAGACAAATTATCCAATTTAAAAGTGGGCAAAGGAATAAGTATTTCTCTAAAGAAGATCTACAAATGGCCAATAAGCACATAAAAATACTAAACATCATTAGTCATTAGAGAAATGCAAATCAAAACCACAATAAGAAACCACTTCTCACCACTAAGGTGATTAAAATAAAAAAGACTAACAATAGCAAAAGTTGGCAAGGATATGGAAAAATTGGAACCTTCATACATTGCTGGTGGTATTGTAAAATAGTGTAACCACTTTGGAAAATAGTTCGGCAGTTCCTTAAACTGTTAAATATAGAGTTACCATATGACTCCAATATTCTACCTCTAGTTATATATAACAAAGAAATTTGAAAACAAATGTTCATACAAAAACTTGCACATAAATGCTCATAGCAGCATTGCTCAAAATAGTCAAAAAGGGTGAACAACCCAAATGCCTACCAATTGATGAATGGAGAAACACAGAATTGAATATTATTTTGTAATAAAAAGGAATGAAGTACTGATATATTTTACTATATGGATAAATTTTGAAAACATTATGCTGTGATACATTCTACAACATAAATAAACTTTAAAAACATTATGCTAAGTGAGAAAAAAACAGATAGAAAAGGCCACATATTACACGATTTCATTTATATGGCATATGCAGAATAGACAAATTGATAAAGGTGTATGCCAACTTAGTGGTAGAAAAAAGGAAGGCCAATATGGGACACCGAAGCTAATAAGACATGAGTAGGATTAAATTTTCAGTCTAGTAACACATGAGGAATGCCTGTGGCAAAGCAAGACCAAGATAAATGACATAAGAAGACAAATAAAATTGCAACTTCACTGGGAATGAGATATGGTAGTTGAATTTGAAGATTCTGCCACTATGTTTCACAAAATATATAGAGAGAAACATATATAAATACATAGACATATGAACCCCTGTGAAATTGTGTGTTGTAAGAAAAAGAAAAATAATAAAATTCTTTAAAAAAAAACTACCTTGTGTTTGGATTGTGCCAACCACCACATGGTAATATCTGAATAAGTCTGGGTAATATGTGAATGAGCATACAGTTTGTTGGCATGAACAAATATTGAAATCAATAAGTTATACCAGTTATGAAGTATTTCAATTCTCACTCCTGATTCTGATATCAGTGACAGTCAATGTAGTAGGTTTTTAAATTCCAATCTGCCTTAGGTGTTCAGATCCATTTTCTGGAGCAGGTTTGAAGTCTGACAGTCCCTACCCGGACTCTGGTTCCTATGCTTTATTATGTGCAGCAAGTCACTGAAACTGCGAGATTTCTTCATGTATAAAATCAGAATGATAATATGTTTCTCAAAAGTTTGTTTCAAGAACGAAACAAAATGTCCTGTGTAAAAGATCTAATACCACTTCCAGAACACAGTATGAGCTTTCTTTTAGGACAGCTTCATTGCCACTGCCTATGAGCTGAACTAAGCATTTCATGACAAGAGACCCTGGAATATAAGGAGTCTACAAACACCTACATTATTTAGTCATTCAGGATGACAGAACAAGTGACAAGAGCAATTGTTCCCAACCTTAGCTGTGCATGTGGAACATCTGTGAAGCTTTTTAAATGCATATAGGTCTGAGACTCACCTCCCAACAACCCTCCAGCACCTGGTCCCATGCTGATAACCTTTCTTCTGTATAAAGTCTTACATAGTTTTCACAAATACTATTTATAAAACCCTCAGTGTTTTCTTCTTCTGGCTAAAAGTGCCTGCTGTTTTAACTCTTCCACTGCAAAACACTGTCTAATTATTGGATTATTCTTAAAACTCATCTGTGAGCCCTGGCTACATTATCTGACTGTCTCTTTGGTTATGTGGCTTCATTTATCATTGGTCGAACTTACTGGAAGTGAAAAGGAAGGTTACCTTAATTGATAGAGCTATTGATATAATTCTAAGATATGATTAATTGCACAGGACATTTTAATTATATGATCCGTTCTTCATGAGACAACAAAAACCAAGGCATTCTAGACACCCATGAGGGAGCTCTATTTCTATGTCTGAAAACGAAATTAGACTTCTTGCTTTTATTTTTCCCTTCCCAAATGACATTTATATAACACACTTAAGTTCTGATGGAGTATGGCAAATGTATTTAACTTTCGACCAATATTTATAGAATCCTTTATTTCATAAGGGATAAAAGCAAGCCCAGAATTTTTCCTGTCTTTTAACTCTTGAAATTGTCCCCTAAGAATATAAACAAACTAAAAGGCGAAGCAAAACATAGACAATATCCCCTTGAATGATTCATAATAACCACATTTAAGCCTCTCTGGGTTTTGTTTGTTTGTTTAGGTCACAGCACTATTGGGAGGCAAAGGGGTTATTGGCTATTGAAGTGTTTGCTGTTGATGAAGAACTAAATTTAAGGCATGTATTCTTTTCTTGACTAGAGTTTGATTAGCTTCGTCATACTTTTGCTTTAGGGAAAGAATGGTATAGAAGAAATAAAAGAACTAACGGAAGCCCTTCCATTTCAATCACTGTAAAGAATTTATCATCATAAGATCAACAAAGCACCATTTCCATGTACCTTTTGCAATATATATATACACACACATATATATATATTTTACACATATATAAATTATATATATATATATATAAAATTATTGCATCGGGGCTTCTTTGTTGCTTTTCTTTTTCCTCAATGACATTGAGACTTTACCTATATCCAATAACATTTGCCTTCCTTTCTATTTTCTTGCATGTTTTAATCTCATAGTGTCACATGGGTTCACTTTACCTAAAGATGGAATATTCTCCTCCGTTGGAGAAGAACCCCAAATTAGGCCAGAAGAATACTGAAAAATGTATGGACTTTGTAGTCAGAACCTGGGAAGAAAAATCCTAACTCTGCCAGATGAAATGGTCCAAGTCAAGTTGAATGGAAGGATTAAAATAGAAGATTAATAAAATGCAGCTGTAGACAGCTGGCACATAGTGACAGTCAATAAGTGACAATTTATAATTCATTCATTTATTCTACCTGCCTGGAGAAGTGAAATCTAAGAGAAATAGACAATAGAAATAAAATACAAATCTATCAAATAAAACAAAGTGAATTAATCAGTAAGCATTCTTGAACACTAATATATATAAGGAAGGGCTAACTTAAGAAAGACATGCTTTTCAAGAGTTTATAAACTGGCTTACCATTTTAAGACATTTTCCATAAAAATTATGCCACATCATATAAATTAGTAAAACTCTATTCCAATCTTAACCTACTTGTACTCTATGTTCTAGTCACTCTAGAAGTCCTAATCACATGCCAAACCATGCCACAAGTTTCCAGGGACACATTTCACATATCTGCTGCTCTCAGTAGAGGGATCAATAATTCTTCCCTACTGGGCTGCAGAGCGAAGAAAATGGGATCTCTGATAAGTACAGGCAATCAATCCATGCTGGTGTCCACTGCAGAATTTAGGAACTCCATGAAATCAGGAGTAAGGGAAGGCTAGACCACCCTCTGAAAACTGAACGTTAAGGGTTCTACTTTATGCATGATAAATACATAGAGCAAAGTGAAAGAAATCAGATGGAGTCTGGTCAGAACGAATGGAAGGGAAAAATAGTTAACTATAACAGGATTGTGAGATGGTCTAGTTCTAGTAAGGGGAAAGGAGCTCAGTAAGGTTGGAGAAGTAGGCATCAATTAGTTCCAGGGTACATGCAGTGTAGCAGGTTGGGATAAACTCCAACAACAAGGAGAACTGATTATTTTAGCAAGAGGAAACAAGACATCTCTGACAGGGGCAGGGGGAGGATGAATAAACAAGAGGATGAGTGTCTGGATTAGGCTGAGATCCCTACAGCAGTGGGACACTGGGTGGACTCTGGGGGGAAATCTGTGGTAAAATTCCCAGTAAGTGTGGCCTTGGGGAGAAAAAGAGAGGGAAATTCCAAGAACAAAGTACTTGGGTTTTGGAGTCAGACCAGGGTTTGCATCTGAGTTTGCCCCTTTACTTTCTAGATCTTAGACTTGAAGCAAGTCACCTAACCAGTAAATAATTTCTTAATCACACAACTTTGTACAATAATGCCTACATCAAAGGACTCTTCTGAGGATTAGGAGATAACATGTGGGAAATGCCTGGTATTGTTCAGATATACTTTGTTTTTATTTTCTTTTATTTTGGTATAAAATATAAGTTCTTACTATAAGAAGTTTATCTTTCTGATCAGGAGAGATGATCCAACCCCTAATTCATAAAAAAGAAACAGGAGGAATATAGGAACTTAAACACCCAGGGGTGTTATGAGGCACCAGCCCTAGAAAGAAGTTGGAGGCTGAAATTTTAGCCCCAACTCTAAA
Organism: Homo sapiens; assembly: GCF_000001405.40. NCBI lineage: Eukaryota > Metazoa > Chordata > Mammalia > Primates > Hominidae > Homo > Homo sapiens. The sequence goes on from NC_000012.12 coordinate 99,547,514, forward strand.
GCAAAGCAATAATATTGTCTGGGAGCTGAATCCACCCAAAGTGAGGTGCCCTTTTCTAATCCTTTCAAAGGCTCTATATGGGATAATGGGTGATCCTGAAAGTGTCTCCCTAGGAGGTAGAATACAAACTACTCAACTGAGTGGCAAAACCTTTCATGTTCAACATATGTAACATTTCAGTCTTAAATGTTTTCTGAATTGAACCGAGCATTATTCAGGAAGTGAAACACTCCCATGTCTTGGGAATACATTGTTCAAATAGTCTAAAACATCAGGTATGTTTTATTTTCTTTTTCACATTATAACTCCCTGAATTATATTCCAAAGGTAGAAGAGTTTATGCTAGATTTTTACAGAGGATGTCTTCATGCAAAATTAAGGGATTGCAGACTACAAAACTGTTGGCAGAAGATTCGGGTTGTTTTTGAGGAATAAATGTATGCCCTTCCCTGATGCTGTCTTATATGGCAATAAACTAAATAAAAATTGTAGTTGATTGACAGTAATTATAAACCTGCAACAGCAATAAAATTTGTGTTAATTATCAAAAATATCAGACCAGTTGTGCTGCCCATTACAGAACAATATTGAATTTTCTGTTAAGGAAATTGGTCCACCTTTCCCTAATTTTTGTTTTGCCTTCCTAAAGGTAAGCCTGAAATATATAATAGCATATCATCAGAATTCATTCCACTGACTCCACTAAATGACTTCCAGAAATTTTGCTATAGGTTGCTAACTAAAGACAGCAGCATCTCCTTGCATGGAATATCAGATTCAAATTTCTTTGCCTGATTCTGGGTGGCTCTCTACCAAATGGCCCTTTCCCTTTTCCTGTTAACTGTTTTGCTTTCTAATCCCCAACAGTTTAGCACATTAGGTGCTCAATAAGTATCTGTGGAAAGAAAGAAGGAAGAAATAGAGAGATGGGCAGGACTATGAATGTTTTTTTAAAGACAATAGAAATCCCCCCACCACCATTCTACAAAATACCTTTTGCATCTGACAAATATAGGTAATGTTATTATTAATAATATATTATTTCAGATATTAACTTCTTTAAAAATGTAAATCTTCTTGGAGAATCAACATTTAGTAATGTAATTTACTCATCCATGCCACACTAAGAAGAAATTTTGAAGCCAGAAAAAGAGAGGGTAGTAGAAATTTGAAAAAGAAAAACAATAAGAAAAGGAGAACTCTGGAAAAGATAGTGCTCTTTGCCTTTGTTTTTGCTAAATATATTCATTCCTTTGATGAACCATTAAAAAATTATTAGCTCCTATATATCTTAGGGATACAGACATTCAGTCATTAGAAGTTGCGAAGATCATCATTCCACAAATATTACTGGGTTCCTGCTATATGCCAGGTGCATAAGTGTAGGGAACAAGATTGCCTACCCAGAATTATGAAACCAAAATAGATAATTACAACTATGATTAATGCAATAATGGAGAACTGCCATGGGGACATAACATATAACAAAAAGGCATACTAGTGGGGAACTGGAGGTGGGGGTGACTAGCAATTTACCTATATCTTTTTTCCAAAATGATCTTCAAACTAGAAATATAAGATCAGTTAACATAAAGAAGAAACCGAAACTCTAGATAGGTCATACAATAGTTAGAGAGCATCAACCCATGTGAACAGTCAAGTCTCCAGTCCAGGTATACTATACCTCAGGGCACTAAAGGAACATACATATTGATTACTGTAAATAACTTCTGTAATTCTTTAGAAATCACAGTAAGCGTGATGGCAGAAGACTGGAGATGGGTAAATCTTTAATCCAATTTTCAAAATAGAAGTTGAGGCAAAAGACTAGGAAGTTTAAGATCAGTCCCTGCCAAAATTCTTAGAGTTAAGCAGATGGTTTTTGAAGTCTTAGTAAATAAACTGGTATTCATGAAAACCAACAGAATTTGCTAAATTAAGTTATGCTAAGATGAATTTATTTTATTCTTCTTCATTCTCTTTCTTCCTTCTTCTCTCCCTCACTCTTTTCTTTCTATCTTTCATAATTTCTGTTATTCAACAAGTGCTTGTCCAACACTTTCATGAATGCTTTACATGGAATGCTTGACAAGCAAGCTGTTAACCAAACCAGTGGTTTGCTTAGTAATAGCAATTAGATATTGCTTAGTAATAGCAATTAGATAAAAACTAATTTGCCTAAGGAACATGCATTCTATAGTCAATGCATGAACTAACCTAGTTCAGTGAATGTAAGATAAAGAAGATCCTGTTAGCCCAACATTTTGTAAACTCCCGCCATTCCACAGACCCTGGTCACAGTGGAAAATTCCACTAAGGCTTGGGCTGTGAAAAACATCCTGCTGGATAAGTCCCAGGCCTAACTGCCTAACTGCAGAAAATTCCTCCCTTTTCAGCAGCTAACCTCACTGTCCACCCCATTTCACAACAAGCCCAGACCCCTCCCGCTCGGACCTATAATTACTCCAGCATGCAAATGGCAGCGGGCTCCAGCGCTAGCTGGTATCCCCTTCTGCAGGTCTTTTGTCCAATAAACCTGTGTTGTTGTTGAGCCAGCAACTCTCTCTCTCTTTTACCCTCGCCTTCCCTTCAAAGCCTAACAGATCCCTAGTGGTTTCATGGTGCTCTCTATCTATCTTGAGTGCTCTCTATCTTGAGTTTCCAGTGTAACATTTCTCTCAGTGTCTTGATAAAGTCCTAAGAATCACAGACATGTTGTTTACATAAAGCATAGAAACATAACTAGCACTTGTGTCAAAATCATAAGGGCTGCTTGCTCAAAATTCAAATTCCTACCTATCCCACAGATATATTTAGTCAAAATTTCCAATCAAGCGCGGTGGCTTAGGCCTGTAATCCCAACACTCTGGGAGGCTGAGGCAGGCAGATCAATTGAGGTCAGGAGTTCAAGACCAGCTTGGCCAACATGGTGAAACTCCGTCTCTACTAAAAATATACAAGTTAGCTGGGCATGGTGGCTGGCACCTGTAATCCCAGGTACTTGGGAGACTGAGGCAGGAGAATCGCTTGAACCCGGGAGGTGGAGGTTGCAGTTAGCCATGTTTGGGCCACTGCACTCCAGCCTGGGTGACAGAGTGAAACTCTATCTCAAAAAAAAAAAAAAATTGAAGTTTGAAGTTATGTAGAAATTTTTATTTTTAACAATCACCACAGTTATTTATTTTGCACACTTAGGTCTAAGAACCCTCACTGAAATGTTTAAGACACATTACCTACCCACAATCACTAACTAACCCCATGTGTATAGGGGGCCTAATTAAAATACAACAACAACTATAAAGCTTCTGTAGATAAATGCTAAAAGATCTCAAAGATTTGAGGGATCTTCCTTATCCTGCAATCCCTTTTGGTCTTGCTGCTTATCCTTGATTATCTTCCTCTGCTGCATTCTTTTCTTTGATCATTAATTTAAGTGTTATGCTCTAATTTGTTTTTAATTTGGATGACCCCTCTGTCCTAAGGATGTGTTTTGGTAAAACCCTGGCATCCTACTACCAGCTCTACTTAGACTCCATAATTAACCCTACACAATCCCTGACCTCTATGTCCCAGCCTCCTGGAAGCACCTGACAACAAATATGGAATCAAGAAATTGTGATAGCACTTTCAGTAGTGTAAACAAAACACCTAAAACACAGAGTCTCTGATGAATTATCTAATTTTATTTCTCACCGTTTCTACTCCCACTTCTATCATCAATTCCAGCCACATAAAATAATTTTTAGCTCCTCAAATACATCATCATACTCAGCAATATCATATCATACAATAAATCTTTTCTGAAAACTGCCCCAAGTCCCTTCCCCACACCTCCATCTAATTTCTAGCTATGTCTCTTTAGGGCTTTCTAACTGTCTCCATCAAAGCACTTTTCACATTGAACTATGGAACTATGATCTCCACTAAAAGGTAAGCCGCTTTATGGCAGGAACCATAACCTAACAGTGTCAGATTCTTAGGATATGTTTACTATGAGTTGGAAGGAAAGGAGAGGAGAGGGGAGGGGAGGGGAGGGGAGGGGAGGGGAGGGGAGGGGAGAGGAAGAATACTCTGGAGCACACAGGTGGGAATATCTGGGAGGAGCAGAAAAGACTTCAGAAAAGAGATGACATTTGAGCTATGTCTTAGAGTGGCAGAGAAACTAAAGTGAGAAGGCAGACATTTCTCTTCATCACAATGGCCAATAATCTTTTTTGAGACACAAAAATCTCTGGCATGAATTAGTGTAACAGTTCCCTACTAGGTGTCACTATATCCAATATTTACTGTCTCCTAGCCATTTTCCACAGTTCAGCCTAGTGGTCTCACTAAAATGAAAATCTGAGTATGTCCTGACTCTTAATGTAGGTTGCAAGATTGTTTATAATCTGACTCCTGCTTGCCTCTCCAGATTTAAGGGCCACCTCCCCCCACCACACACACACATCTGAAACACTGTTCCAATCATATATGTACAGTTCCTAGCATGTGCCAAGCTTGTCCTTTTACCTCTGGGCCTATGTACCAAGAACACTGTTCCTTTTATTTCTGCCTGGATGATCCCTAGTGCTCCTTTAGGACTCAGTTTCTACATCAGTTCCTGTAGGACTCAGTTTTTTTTATCTTTCCTTGTGAATGACTAGGTCAAATCACCTATCACACATTCTTGCAGAATCCTACACTGATCACAATTATAATGAAATGATTGTGAAATACTTGTCTTCCAAAAAAGATTACGAGTTCCAAGAAAACAGGCAGTTGGTCTTTTTCTTATTGTCTCCTCAATGTCTATCATGGTGTCTGGCACAAAGAAAATGTTCAATAAATATTTGTTGGCTTAATGACCAAACTGAAGTAAATGAATAGACAAATGTTTTTATTTCCAATTAGATTTTAAGCAAAATGAGGGCAAGTTTCATGTCTGTCTTGTTCATCATTGTATTCCCACTGTCTAGCACAGTGTCTGACACATAAAACTCTCACTAAATAGTTGTAAAATAATGAATAAATGACAGATCAAATGAACATGGCATCCTGCCACATTGCATTACTAAATGCTCTATGATAAACACATTTTATCTTTCTAAAGTTATATTATGGCTGGGAATTAAATTATAAAACAATGATTATCAAAAATCATAGATATAAACAATAACATGGCTGTCCCTCAGTATCCATGGGGGATTGATTCCAAGACACCACTGCCCCAGTCCCACGAATACCAAAATTCACAAATGTGCAAGTCCCTATAGAAAATGGTGTTGTATTTACATATAACCTATGAACATGCTCACGTATACTTTAAATCATCTCTAGATTATCTATAATAACTAATACAATGTAAATGCCATGTAACTAGTTGTTATACTATATTGTTTAGGGAATAATTATGAGAAAAAAGTCTGTACATGTTCAGGACAGACACAACCATCTATTTTTTTCCAAATGTTTTCCACCCATGGTTGATGAATCCATGAATGCAGAACCCACGGACACAGAGAGCTGACTTTATATCACAAAAAAGCTTCAACAGCTGTAAACATTTGTCATCATTTAAAGTTATAAAAATTAGGCTCTATATCCAATAAAACATTCATGCATATATTTTTCACAATAGTTGGAGCTTCAATGTAAAATAAAGCCTCTGTAGGCCACATAAATTTTTACTAGCTAAACGAAGTATACTAGGTATAAAAATAATCAACAAAAATTTAGCAAGGCTTTCTAGAATTTAGAAGTTCTTTTAAGGAAAATTAGGATAGCCCTCATCATTAAACCCGGTTGGGGTTTGTTAATATTTTCCTTAAATGAAAGTTGATATTATTCAATGCAGTAACCAAATATCTGAACATCTCATTTAAGGTCCTTAGATGAGAGGATTTGGAAGACTGGAATCATCATTATTAATACTGTTGCTATGGATGCTTTTTTCCTAAGCTCTTTGACTTTATTTGAAGTAGACCAAGAATATTAGATCAAGGGGCCAGATGGTAAATATCTTAGGCTTTGCTGGCCATATGCTGTCTGTTTCTACTACTCAACTCTACTGATTCAGCATGAAAGCAGTCATAGACAATATATAACAGAATTAATGTGGCTGTATTCCAATAAAACTTTACTTACACAAACAAGCAGCAGCAGTTTGTTCTGCAGGCCAGTTTGCAGATTACTCTTAAGTAAACAATTGCTGTTTTAACTGCCTAGCATTCATTGACAATTCATTTGCTAAAGGCACCTTGATTTTTATTTGCGGGATCATCTCTCCTCCTCTCCAAACCCTTGTAGTTGCAGTGGAATTGACCCGAGGCCTTTAGGGCCAGAATTAGTCAGGTGGCCGAAGACTGTCCAATTAGAATGTCTTTACGTTAGCTTCAGTGACTGGTTCAAGGTTGAACAAATGAACCACGATGGTCTACTGTGTCTCAATCCTGGGACTTTTTGGACAATTGAGAAACATTTTTTATGGTGGGGTCACAATGTAAGTCTTCAGCTGCTAGTAGAAACCATGTAGAGAAAAACTGCCTGTGGGTGATGCCAACACAGAAGAAAGCAAAGCCCAGATATGAAGAGAAAGAGAGAGACCAAATCCAGAAGGGCTCATCTAAGCAATACAACCTAGCTGTGCCTAAAGACACATCTCAGCCTACAGCCAAAAGAGATCCAAATTCAACTGCATGGATAACATCAAGAAAACTCTTAAAGAAGAAAAGTAACCCAATTGAGAAGTCTATGAGATACTGTGGAAGGTACAGTTATATATCTCTGAGCCAGTGCAGAAGAGTGAGAGGAATAAGGAAGGATAGATAGCCATGGAATGGATATGAGTCAGGGATTTTTTAAACCATGAAATGCTGAAACAGTCTTTCTCTCCCACGTTAGTATCTAAAGAGTCTGTAATTACAGAACCTACAAATTGCTCCACAAACTTGGGGGTAAAGGTGGAAGGTGGAAAGGAGAGTCATTAGCTAAATCATCCTGAATAAGAAGATAATATACAAAATCTCCCAAAGCAGTATTTCCCTGTAATCTACTAAAGGCTTAAAATTAAGGGATAGGGTCCCCACTCAAACAGAGCTTGATGTTTTCTACTGCACTAACCATAATCCATGAAGAAAAGAAGCTCAGAACTTTAAAGAGGGAAGCATTTCAGGTCACTTTGGTCCAATATTGGAATTATTTGTTTTTGTTAACTTTTATTTTAGGTTCAAGGTTACATGTGCAGTTTTGTTATATAGATAATTTGTGTGTCACAGGGGTTTGGAGTACAAATTATTTTGTCATCCAGGTAGTGAACTTAATATCCAATTGGTAGTTTTTCAGTTCTCCTCCTCCTCCTACACTCCATCCTCAAGTATGACCCAGTATCTGTTGTTCCCTTCTTTGTGTCCACGTGTCCTCAATGTTTAGCAGCCACATATAAGTAAGAATATGTGGTAATTGGTTTTCTGTTCCTGTGTTAGTTTGCTTAGGAGAATGGCCTCCAGCTCCATCTATGTTGCTGCAAAAGACATGATCTCACCACATTTTCTTTATCCAGTCTACCATTGATAGGCATTTATATTGGTTCCATGTCTTTGCTATTGTGAGTAGTGCTGCAGTGAACATACACACGCATAGGTCTTTATGGTAGAACAATTTATATTCCTTTGGATATATACCCAATAATGGAATTACTGCGTGAAATGGTAGCTCCATTTTAAGTTCTGGGAGAAATTGCCCAACTACCGTCCACAATGGTTGAACTAATTTACATTCCCACAAGCAGTATACAAGCATTCTCTGTTCTCTGTTTGCTGAAGTTGTTTATCAGTTCTAGGAGCTTTTGGGTGGAGACTATATGGTTTTCTAGATATGGAATCACACACCTTCAAACAGAAATAGTTTTACTTTTTCTCTTTTTATTTGGATGCCTTTTATTTATTTCTCTTGCCTGATTCCTTGGCTAGGACTTCCAGTACGATATTGAATACAAGTGGTGAGACTGGGCATCCTTGTCTTGTTTCAGTTCTCAAGGGTTATGCTTCTAGCTTTTGTGCATTCAGTATGATGTTGGTTGTGGGTTTGTCATAGATGTCTGTTATTATTTTGAGGTATATTCCTTCAATCCTACATTGTTGAGGGTTTTTAACATGAAAGGAGGTTGAATTTTATCAAAAGCCTTTTCTACATCTATTGAGATGATCATGTGGTTTTTGTTTTTAGTTCTGTTTATATGGCAAATCATATTTATTTGCGTATGTTGAGCCAACCTTGTATTCCAGGGGTAACATCTACTTGATCATGGTAGATTAGCTTTTTGATGTGCTGCTGAATTTGGTTTTCTAGTATTTTGTTAAGGATTTTTGCATCTATGTTCATCAAGGATATTGGCCTGAAGATTTGTTTTTTGTTGTATCTCTGCCAGGTTTTGGTATCAGGATGATGCTGGACTCACAGAATGAGCTGGAGAGAAGTCTCTCCTCTTGAATTTTTTTGAATATTTTCTGTAGGAATGGTAGCAGCTCTTCCTTATACAGCTGATAGAATGTGACAGTGAATCCATCTGATCCAGGGCTTTTCCTGGTTGGTAGGCTTTTGGTTACTGATTCAATTTCAGAACTCATAGAATTGTTCAGGATTTCAGTTTCTTCCTGGTTCAATCTTGGGAAGTTGCATGTTTCCAGGAATTTATCCATTTCTTCCAGGTGTTCTCGATTGTGTATGCAGAGGTGTTGATAATAGTTCCTGAGGGTTTTGTGTATTTCTGTGGGGGTCAGTAGTAATGTTCCCTTTGTCTTTTCTGGTTGTGTTTATTTGGATCTTCTCTCTTTTTTTCTTTAGTATTCCGGCTAGTGGGTCTATCAAACTTATTTATTCTTTCAAATAAGAAACTCCTGGATTCAGTGATTTTTTTTGGGGGGGAGCATGGCTTTTCATGTCTCAATTTCATTCAGTTCAGCTTTGATTTTGGTTATTTCTTGTCTTCTGCTAACATTGGAATTAGTTTGCTTTTGTTTTTCTAGTTCCTCTAGGTGTGATGTTAGGTTATTAATTTGAAATCTTTCTAACGTTTTGATGTGGGCATTTAGTGCTATAATCTTTCCTCTTAACACTGCTTTAGCTATGTCCCAGAGATTCTGATATGTTTTATTTTTGTTCTCCTTAGTATCAAATAATTTCCTGATTTATGATTTAATTTCACTGTTTACCCAAATGTCATTGAGGAGCAGGTTGTTTAATTTCCATGTAATTGTACAGTTTTGAGTGATATTCTTAGTATTGGTTTCTATTTTTATTGTGCTGTGGTCAGAGAGTATGGTTGGTAAGATTTCTGTTTTCTTGAATTTGTTGAGAATTGTTTTCTGGCCGATTGTGTGGTTGCTTTTAGAATATGCGCCATGTGCAGATCAGAAGAATGTATATTACATTGTTTTGGAGTGGAGAGTTCTGTAGATGTCTATTAAGTCCATTTAGTCAAGTGTCAAGTTTAGGTCCCAAATATCTTTGTTAGTTTTCTGTCTCAATGGTACAACACTGTAAGTGAGATGTTCAACTCTCTCACCTCACTTTTGTAGGTGACCTGTCCCTTTTCTCTAGCTGCCTTTAACATTTTTTCTTTTATTCAACCTTGAAGAATCTGATCAATGTGTGTCTTGGGGATGGTTGTCTTACATAGTATCTCACAGGGTTTCTCTGCATTTCCTGAATTTGAATGTCGACCTCTCTAGTGATGTTGGAAACATTTTCATGAATGATATCCTCAAATATATTTTCCAGGTTTCTTGCTTTCTCTCCCTCTCTTTCAGAGATGCCAATGGGTCATAGATTTGGTCTCCCATATTTCTTGAAGGTTTTGTTCATTTTTTTAATTCTTTTTTCTTTATTTTTGTTTGAATTAGTTAATTCAGAGTACCAGTATTTGAGCTCTGAGAGTCTTTCCTCAGTGTGATCTATTTGTGCTATTAATACTTGAAATTGTATCATAAAACTTCTGTAGTGAGTTTTTCACCTCTATCAGATGATTGTGACTCCTTCTTAAAATGGCCATTTCCTCTCTTTCAGCTCCTGTATTATTTTATTGTATTTCTTAGATTCCTTGGACTAGGTTTTGACTTTCTCCTGAATCTTGATGATTTTTGCTCCTATTCATATTCTGAATTCTATGTCTGTCATTTCAGCCATTTCAGCCTGGTTAACAACCATTGCTAGAGAACTAGTGTGGTCATTCTGAATACAAAGACAATCTGGCTTTTCAAGTTGCCAGAGTTCTTGCACTGATTTTCTTATCTAGGCAGGCTGATGTTCCCTTAATCTTTGAAGAAGCCGTCTTTTAGATGAGGTTTTTTGCTTTTATCTCTCTGATGCCCTTGAAGGTTTGTAGTATAAGGTGGGTTCAGTCAACAGGCTTTGTTTCTGGAAGACTTTAGGGGGCCAAGGCTCAGCTCAGCACTGCTGGGCTGTGTGCTCTAACTCTTATGGGCGTTTACCATGCCCCCAGCTTTGTTCTCTGACCCCTTGCAGTTAAGAACCTGCTGTGGTGGAGGGGCCGAGGTATTCTTAGACTGCTAGCCACAACGCTACAATGGAGAGTGTAAGCCCAAGTGCTTCATCAGAGCAATGGCAGAGATCTGTGCTCACTCATTCATGCCAGCAGTGCAGTGGGGATGCACACACATGATGGGGTCAGTGGGAGTGGAGTGGCGGTATTCGTATGCATGCTCACATTGGTGACCGTAGCGGTGGGGCAGGGGCAAGGCATTGGCAGAGATGGGGTTGTCAGAGTCCATGTGCACATCCACGCCAGCAGCAGTGCAGCAGGATGCCCAAGCATCAGGAGGAGCAGGATAGCATAGTGTGCTCACACTGGCAGCAGTGGGGCAGCGGGGTACACACACGCATGCCAGCATGGGATGGGAGGCAAGGTCTACTCACACATGCACCAGTAAAGCAATGTGTGTGTGTCAAGGGGGGAGGGGAGGTAGTGGTCCATGCCTGAGTAAGTGCCAGCAAAGCAGCAGTGGGGAGGCTGTAGTGGGTGAGGTTGTAGGTGGGTTGGTGTGTGTCAACAAGAGCTGGTCTGCTGGAGCTCTCCAGTAGTCATGCACAGACTGCCAGTGAAGGAGCTATGATGAGATCCCTGAGGAAGCACCTTGGTTGGGCTTGCCAGGCTGCACTGCAAGTGTGTGGCCAGGCTGGAGCCCCAGGAGAGGCCACCAGACAGAGGGGCACTCAGATTGGACTGGACCCATCACATGGGAAAGACCACCCTGCTCTATCCAGGTCTAACAGTTGCCCAAAAGCTAAAGCCTCCTGGAGGAGCATGGCAAGCCTTGGTGTATGGGTATCCCTGGCCATGCTCCACTTCAGCCATTCCCATGCCAAACCTTCTGCTCCTACAACCTATCTAGGCAGCTCTCCCTGCCAGCTCAAGTGTCTGTGGGGATTGTGGGGTGTCCTGCTGCTAGGATTCTCAAAGTCCATGGCAAGAGCTGGTCACTCCTTCCCTGTTCAACTCACCCCTTCCTTAGGAGTTGCTGGGGACCAGTAATGAATCTTGGTGCTCCGAAACCCTGCGCACCGTTCCCAGCTTCCTCCCGCTTCAGCCCAGCAACTGAATCCTCTCTCCATCCACTCTCAATGCCTTCTCTCTGAAGATCTGCTTAGAGTGTACCAGTCTTCCCAATGTTCTTGTTTCTCAGTGAAAGATGTTCCTCCTAGTTGCATCTAGTTGGCCATTTTGGCTCAGATCAGAAATTGCCATTTTAAAAATCAGATCTTCATTGAGACTTCTATCAAGTCAGGCTCAAAGGCTTAGATTTTTAAATCAGTGTTGATTTTGCACAATATTTTAGAAGCTTCTTTCTGCACATTAAATCAATGTTTATGTCAAATACTTGTTCTAGACCTCCCCACATCTCTCAATCAGTGATGACCATTAGTTTTCACATAAATTCAAGTATTTATGTACTTGACAAATTAACAAATAATTTGTTAAGATGATCACATAGAATTAATATTACTCGTTCCAGTTGCATGGTGGGGAAAAGAAAGCAGAATCAATATTTTCTGAAAACCTATTTTGTTGCAGGCATTATATTAACTTGATGATTTATAGCTATATCCTTGTATAACCCTCACATAATTCAATGAGGTAGGTTTTATTTTCCCTGTTCTCAGAAAAAGAAACAGGTTCAGCAAAATTAGGTAACCTGTACAAATAACATAGTTAATAACAAAAGTCAGATATTTCTGCAATACTCTAGTGCCTAACATCCCTGGAAACAAAGAGAAAAATCTCTGTGGATGGTGAAGATAAGTATTGCTGCTTAAGTTTTGATATAAAAATCATATAGAGGATGCTTACATGCAACAGATAATATCCAAAAAATGCATAAGAAAAAAATTTCCTCCTGAGAGGATTTAAATCTAATCTTTGAATTAAAAGTAAGACCTAAAATAATTGTAGAAGACAACATACAATGAGGCCTCGGTCAAGTGTTTCAGTACTTCAGAAAATGAAGAATTTTACGTGATATAGAAATATTTACTTGAAGCAAACATTTTATAAAACAGTATGAAGCATTCAGTAATACAGCTGAGGTACACCTGGGGTACTAATTTGGTTATTTCTAGGCTAGAAAGTGGTTTCATGTTTAATTCACTGCTTTCTGAAGAGGAATTGATCTCTAATTGACTGTAAAGTTATGGTGAGTTCTAGTTGCTTATTTTCTTTGTTCCTGTAATATTAATTTCTTATAATCTCCAAGCAAAATATAACATTATCTAATGTTCACTTGAGTGTCTGAATACCACACGTTACCTCAATAGATATGTTGTTTTTTTTCACATAGCCCAACACATTTTTCTTCAAAGTACAATACAGTTTTCTATGATTTTTTTTAAGAAAAAAAAAATCCAAATTCAGTTGCAGATCCTCTAAAACCTTATCCGTATCCATTTCTTTCTCTTGTTCCCTAGCTGTGATCTTTAAAATAAAGTTGATATGCAGGCATACCTTGGAGATTGTGATTTTGATCCATATCAATGAAGCTAATATCACAATAAAATAAGTCACACAACTTTTTTCATTTCACCCGGGCATATAAACATTATACTTACACTATACTATATTCTACTTAGTGTGCAATAGCATTATATCTATAAAAGCAATGTACATACCTTAATTTAAAAACATTCTATTGCTAACATGCTAACAATCATCTGAGCCTTCAATTAGTTATAATCTTTTTGCTGGTGGAGGGTCTTGCCTCAGTATTGATGGCTGCTGACTATTCTGGGTGGTGGTTGCTGAAGATTGGGGTTGCAATGGCAATTTCTTTCTTTTTTCTTTTTTTTTTTTTTTTTTTTTTTTGAGACGGAGTCTCACACTCTCCTTCAGGCTGTAGTACAGTGGTGCCATCTCAACTCACTGCAAGCTCCGCCTCCTGGGTTCACGCCATTCTCCTGCCTCAGCCTCCTGAGTAGCTGGGACTACAGGCGCCTGCCACCATGCCCAGCTAATTTTTTGTATTTTTAGTAGAGACGGGTTTTCACCGTGTTAGCCAGGATGGTCTCAATCTCCTGACCTTGTGATCCACCCGCCTCGGCCTCCCAAAGTGCTAGGATTACAGGTGTAAGCCAGTGCGCCCGGCCGGCAATTTCTTAAAATAAGACAACAATGAACTTTGCCACATTAATTGAATCTTTCTTTCATGAACAATTCTTCTATAGCATGTGATGCTGTTTGACAGCATTTTACCCAGAGCAGAACTTCTTTCAAAATCGGAGTCAATCCTCTCAAACCCTGCCACTACTTTATCAACTAAGTTTCTGTAATATTTTAAATCCTTTGTTGTCATTTCAACAACATTCACAGGATTGCTGAGGGATTGTTCACAGGATTGATGAGGCCTCATTGTATGTTGTCTTTTCTTCTACAATTATTTTAGTTCTTACTTTTAATTCAAAGATTAGATTTAAATCCTCTCGGGAGGAAATTTTTTTCTTATGCATTTTTTGGATATTATCTGTTGCATGTAAGCATCCTCTATATGATTTTTATATCAAAACTTAAGCAGCAACGTTCCTCAGGAGTTGATTTTGTCTCAAGAAACCACTTTTTTTTTTGCTCATCCACGAGAAACAATTCCTCATCTGTTCAAGTTTTATCATGATATTGCAGCCAATCAGTCCCATCTACAGGCTCCATTTCTAATTCACTCACTATTTCTACCACATCTTCAGTTCCTTCTTCCACTGAAGTCTTGAACCTCTCAATGTCATCCATGAGGGTTGGAATTAACTTGGTCTAAACTCCTGTTAATGTTAATGTTGATATGTTGACCTCCTCCCATGAATCACAAATGTTCTTAATAGCAAGTAGAATGGTAAATCCTTTCTAGAAGGTTTTCAATTTACCTTTCCCAGATCCATCAAAGGAATCATTATCTATGGCAGCTATAGTCTTACATTATATATTTCATAAAAAAGACTTAACAGTCTAAGTTAATCCTTGATCCACGGGCTTGCAGAATAGATGCTGTGTTCGCACACATAAAAACAACACTAATATCCTTGTACATTTCCATCAGCAATCTTGGGTGACTAAGTGCATTGTCAATGAGTAGTAATACCTTGAAATAAATCTTTTGAGCAGTAGTTCTTAACAGTGAGCTTAAAATACTCAGTAAACTATGCCATAAACTGATGTGCTTTCATCCACCCAGGCTTGATTGTTCCATTTTTAGAGTACAAGCAAAATCAATTTTGCATAGTTCTTAAGGGCCCTATGATTTTCAGAATGGTCTATGAGCATTGGCTTCAACTTAGAATCACCAGCTGCATTCACCCCTGACAAAAGAGTCAGCCTGTCCTTTGTAGATTTGAAGCCAGGCATTAACTTCACACCTCTCTAGCTATGAAAGTCCTACATGGCATCTTTTTCCAATACAAGACTGTTTAATCTACATTGAAAATCTGTTGTTAATGTGGCCACGTTACTAATCTGCTCTCATGCTGCTACAAAGAACTGCCTGAGGCTGAGTAATTTATAAAGGAAAGAGGTTTAATTGACTTACAGTTCCACATGGCTGGAGAGACCTCAGGAAACTTACAATCATGGTGGAAGGGGAAGCAAATATGTCCTTCTTCACATGGTGGCAGGAGAGTGAAGTGCTGAGCAAAGTGGGAAAAGCCTCTTATAAAACCATCAGATCTTGTGAAAACTCACTCACTATCATGAGAAGAGTAGCATGGAGGTAACTGCTCTCATGATTCAATTACTTCCCATGAGGTCCCTCCCTCAATACGTGGGTATTACAATTTGGATTACAATTCAAGATGAGATTTGGGTGGGGACACAGAGCCAGACCATATCAGCCACCTTTATCAATTACCTTAGCTAGATCTTCTCAATAACTTTCTGCAGCTTCTCCATCAATACTTGCTGCTTCTCCTTACAGTTTTGTACTATGGAGACAGTTTTTTTCTTTTAACCTCATGAACCAACCTGCTAGTTTCAAACTTTTCTTCCGAAGCTTCTTCACCTTTCTCAGCCTTCATAAAATTGAAGAGAGTTAAGCCTTGTTCTTTATTAGCTTTTGGCTTAAGAGAATATTGTGGCTGATTTGGTCTTCTAACCAGGAGACCAAAACTTTATTCACATCAGCAGTAAGGTTTTTTGCCTTGCTTATCTTTTGTGTGTTCACTGTAATAGCACTTTTAATTTTCTTCAAGAACTTTTCCTTTGCGTTTACAATTTGGATAACTGTTTGGCATAAGATGCCTAGCTTTGGCCTATTTTGGCTTTCAATATGCCTTCCTCACTAAGCTGAATTATTTCTAGCTTTGATTTTAAAGTGGGAGATGTGGAACTCTTCCTCTCACTTGAACACTTAAGAGCCCATTGCAGGGCTATTAATTGGCTTAATTTCTATATTGTTGTGTCTCAGGGAGTAGGGAGGCCTGAGGAGAGGAAGAGAAATAGGGGAATAGCTAGTCGGTGGAGCAGTCAGAAAACACACAACACTTACTAAGTTAACTATCCTATAATGGGCACAGTTGTGTCACCCCAAAACAATTACAATAGTAGTATCTAAGCTCATTGATCACAGATAACCATAACAGATATAATAAAATGAAAAAGTTTGAAATAGGATGAAAATTAACAAAATGGAACACAGAGCAAATGCTGTTGGAAATATGTCACCAATAGATTTAATCAATGCAGCATTGCCACAAACCTTCAATTTGTAAAAAGACTGTCATTACCTATGAAGTGCAATAAGGTAAATAAAGTGCAATAAAATGAGGTATGCCTGGATATCTTTCCCACCCACTTTAAAACATTTTTACTGTGTATTTTCTCATAGACAATATATTGTACTATTGCATGCACTTTAAAATTACATTAATAGCCAAATAATGTACTTACCCTCTGCCACTTTTGTCAGTCAAGATCATGTTTGCAAGATTTCTAGATATAGTTAATGATATGTTTTCTACATTTTATAGTTTTCTAGATATGGATATTTCATCACTTATTCACTCGGTTCTCTAGAGATGAAAATTTGGATTGTACTTGTTTTGTTTTGGTCTTGCACCATTACAAACAGGATTGCAATCAAAACTTCTATGTACATTGAATGAAAACTTCTCTAGAGTTCATACCTACATGTGAAATTGTTGAGCTCACAGAAATTTGCCAAAAGGTTCATACAAAAATATTTACTACAGCACTGTTTACAAAGCTAAAAACTGGATACACTGAAATTATACCAACCAATAGCAGAACAGGTATATAATTTTTAATATATTTATGCAATGCAATTAAAGAGAATTGTATAGACGCATACGTGCTGATACAGAAAGACGCCCAAAATTGATTGCTCAGTGAAAAAAAAATTAAGTTATAATACTCTATATAAAATTATCCCATTTTTTATAAAAATAAATGATAAAATTAATAATATATGTACATATTTAGAGAAAAAATAGAGACCAATTTAAGAAATTCATGTTAATAACTATGTATGATATATAAGATAAACTTGTATTTTCTCTATTTTAAATTTCAATAGTACCAGATACACATTACTTCAATCTACACTTATAACCTGAATGAATACATAATTTCTTCTTATCCTAATAATGACACATTTTGCTTTTCTGACCACTAACATCCCTTACAAGACTAACTTTTTCCATTAATTCCTAACCAATTTCTGTTTTTAGCACAAACAATAATAGTCTGTACTTACTTACACTACTGCAATCTCCTTGTTGCTATATCTTGAAATTTTTCAAACTTGAAATTAATTACATTCATTACCACTGCTTTTACCAGGAACCCTTCTGACTCTATAATATTCTCTCTCAGACCTGAATAAATATCATATTATTATAACAACCTTCTAGGTCAATTATGGGATTTCAAGTTAAAAATATATAACTGTAAAATTTAAAGAAGGTGTGCAGTGAGAAGGAAGAGTTGTTCATTCTGGAAAAATATATTTGGATACCCAATCAAGTTTCCTTAGAATGTCATTTACTTGAAAAAATTAACCATTATCCATAAATGATACTCTTATTCTTAAAGAATTACAAAAATTAATCCCTGTATTATTTCTAAATTGATCAGAATTATGGGTTCTAATTCAGTCTAATAAAGGTCACAAATAATTATAAATATTTAGTAAGCTGTTATTCATTGGGCACTATGTGCAAGAAATAGAGGACATAGTGGTAAATAATATAGATGAGCTCCAAGTCTAAAATGGCATCAACTAAATTAGGTGGGGATGAGGCTCTTCATTGCAATCCATTAAGTGCAGCTCCTGGGGCACAAATCCTTCCATATATGGACCCATGAAATGAAAGAGACAAGCCATCCTTCTTCAAACCCCCCAACCTATAATGGTAGGATAGGCACAGCACAACAGCTATAGACATCACAGTTCTAATGGGGGAAAATGAAAAGTAAAAAGGAGTCACAGGGGTCACTGTTTCAAAGGAGTTCTGAAATCCAGGGAGTAAATGGGAGTTTCTTGATTAGGTTTCAAGGGCAGAGAATAATCCTCCTTGGCTCTCAGCTCCATTCTCTGAAGGCTCCATCCTTCTTGGTTCTGCCCTCTGAGTCATCCTTCCTTTTTCATGAAAGGTAACACATGTTTGTAGCTTAGTGGTTTTATCAGACTGCTTCCTGCTGGTAGAATTTTGGGGACTTAACCATCTCCTTTCCTTTTGTAGTATTGTCTCTGACCTTTTTAGATGAAGCTGGCAGTGTTTCTGCTTCAATAAATTTCTCAAGAACTTTGTGGGTCTTCCATGGATTTCACAGGGATTCACACCATAAAAGAAAAGCCACATCCACAGATGTTTTTAAGATTGTCCCTTTTCTATATCTTGGCTTCCTGCTGAGAGGGCTAGAGGACAATGCCCTTCAGCCTCCTAGAGGCCCTCAGGTTTGTGTGAAAAAATCAGTGAGGCACACCCTTAATCTCTTGAAAAGAGCCTTTGTACTGAATACGCTGACATTTTGATCTTTCTGATATTTTTAGCAAAAGTCACACACTCTCAATGCCATACTTTTGAGTATGGCTATTTCTCAATGCCATACTTTTGGCAGCCATTTCTGAATTTTAGCATCTTTTGCCATCTGGAGAGGCTGCGAATTTTCAGTCACGTAATCCTAATCCATTTTCTTTAACATGTCTTCCTTCAACTTATCTCTCTTTTGCATTCTATTACAAGCAGTAAGAGAAAACCAGTAGCAACTTCAATACTTTGCTTGAAATCTCCTTAGCACTACATACAAGCAAGTTCATTGCCCACAAGTTCTTCTTTCCATAAGATGGCAGAATGCACAATTTTGCTAATAGTTCTGCAAGTATATAAAAAGGATCCCTCTCCTTCTAATTTCCAATAACATGCTCCTCACTTCTGAGCCTAACAGCAGTGCTCTCAAAGTTCAGATTTCTACTAAGGGTCTGTTCATGGCAACTCAGGCTGCTATGGTTTGAATGTGTCCCCTAAATTTCATGTGTTAGAAACTTAATCCTTAAATTCATGTGTTGATTAGAGGTGGGGTCTTGGGGGCTAATTAGGGTTAGATAATGTCATCAGGGTACAGTCCCCATGATGGAACTAACGGCTTTATAAGAAGAGGAAGAGAGAGAGCTCTGAGCTGACATGCACACTCTTGCTCTCTTGCCTTGTGATGCCTTCTGTCATGGAATGAGCCTCACTAGATGACGGCACCATGCTCTTGGACTTCCCAGCCTCCATAACCATGAACTAAATAAACATCTATTGCTTATAATTTTCTCTGTCTGTGGTATTCTGTTACAGCAACAGAAAATGGACTAAGACATAGGCTTCCTCTATCATGTTCTGCAAACATTTCCTAGCCTTTGTCTACTGTCTAATCCCAAAGCTGCTCCCATATTTTAGGTATGCCTCTTGGTACCAAAATATGCATAACATCTTGGTGGCTTAAAACAACACTCAGTCAGTTTCTCCTGCTTTTCATCAGTCAGGAGTCTGGGCCTGGCTCAGTCTTATGCTCAAAGCCTCCAAAGCTGCACTGAAGGTATTGGCTGGACTATGGTTCTATGATTCTGATCTAGAGCTTGGGGTTCTCTCTCAGGTTTACTCAGGTCATTGGAAGAATTCAGTTCCTTGCAGCTGTAGGACTCAGGCCGTCAGTTTATATAAGCTGCCTCTCTCCATAGGCAGTTTACAAAATGATTCTTTGCTTTCTTCTAGCCCAGCAGGAGACCATCTCTCTTTAAAGGGCTTACCTAATTAGGTCAAGCCCATCCAGTAAAATCTACCCTCAATAACCTTAAATCCAACTGACTGGGGGCCTTAGTTACATGCAAAAAGCCTTTTATATGCTTATATCCCTCTGAGTCAGGAAAAAACTACCAGAGTTCTCACTCCCCCATCAAGAGCCCCCCGACACACACACATACAAACACATACCTAATTATAGATAATATTTTTTTCTAAAATACATCCATATGGTTGTGTGATTTTCTCCAGTGGTGCTGAACAACCTTGGTTCAGAAGTAAAGAATCTTGACACTAGAACTAATCCAAGAAAAGTGGGTAAGAAAAGGTCCCTAAAAGGTTCTCAACATGAAGCAGCAGGAGAAATTCAGAAGAGGAAGAGAGATCTCCATCAGCCACTTGGAGTAGATAAAGGTATCAGGACCAAGATATGCTAAAGGGGGCAGATAATCATCCTGTCACAGAACAGAAATCTCAATTAGAAGGCTTTCCTAAAAAAATTTCAAAAGACCATAACTGCTCTTACCACACTTTACGTAACCAAGAAGTGGTAATCAGATAAATCTCCTAGGAAAGAGCTTATCAACTCAATTGAGACTACATTTATATGGAGAGGGACAGAGGCAGCCAGGCACATGAGTCAGCTCCCCTGCCCCCAGCACCACCTTCCACTGTGAGGTTTTCAGACTTGACAACAAGGACAATTTATTATTTCACATTGACCAAAATCCAGTGGTTAAATGAGATTACAGTCCTGTTGTATTAGTTTCTTATTGCTGCTGTAACAAATTTTCATAATTTATTGGCTTCAAACACTCACAATATTTTACTATTCTCTAAGTCAGAACTATGAAAATCAAGGTGGACTAAAAGTGTCAGCAGGGATGCATTCCTTCTAGGGGCTCTAGGAGAATCTGTTTTCTTGCCTTTTCCAGCTTCTAGAGGAGACTTGCATTCCTTGGGCTCATGGCCTCTTCCTCTACCTTCAAAAGCCAGCAGCATATCATTTTCAAATCTCTCTCCTACTCTGAGATTTCCACCTTCATCTTATTAGGACACTTGTGATTATACTCAGCCTACCTTGATTACCCAAGATAATCTTTCCATCTTAAAATCCTTGGCTTACTCACACCTGCAAAATCTCTTTTTTACAGAAGGTAACATTTTACAAACTTTCAGGCATTAAGATGTGGGCATCTTTCAGGGGTCTCATTTTGGTTATCACAACTTCCAAATACCTTTCTAATATTCAAACTCAATCATTTCATTTGGGCTGATGATAAAAATGCTCTGTAATGTTTTAATGAGTTTGCTTATAAAGTTTATCTGAAATATATTTCTATAAATTCTTATATTCTCTGACAAAATCAACAGAGGTGTTAGATTGAACAAATTTGATTAGCTAATAGAAATTGTTAAGTAACATCATGTTCTTAAGGAGTTGCTTCAAAGCATTCACAAAGCACCTAATTTATCCTTGCAATTGTCAAATAAGTAAAAGTAGGTATCATAAAAGAAAATTTCAAGTAAGGAAATGAAAGCACACAGTGGCTTTCCTAGATCTCCCAGGGAGAAATTCTGGAAGAAATATGAATAGAACTCAGCTTCTCTTACTCCCATTCAGTAGCTTAAAAGGCTAGGAATAATAGTTACAATGATTCATACTGATTACCTAGTGCCTCTTCTCCAAAGTACTGCAAATCCACAAGAGAAATCATCACAGACACGGTGATATGTCTTTGGTTAGTTTTTCTACCTCCTGGTTTCAACAAAGCTTTAAAGAAGTATAGAGAACATGGAACAATCTGTGAGAAACTACTCCACCTCGAGTGGTTCCACTTGAAATGTAAATAGGTTTGGAAGGTCTTAAGTAAACATGACTTGAAATTTAAAAAACATATATTGTTAACCTGACTGGAAGGTAAAAACAAATTTAGAAGAATAATGGATGTGCTGTCTGGAGGCTATAATTACTGGTGCTCTAACACAGCAGTGTAGCGAGAGGCTGGGAACTGCTTCATGAAAAGTGCTGGGGAACTGGACAGAAATTGGTTGGAATCTCAATTCTTCTGCTTATACTAGCTGTATAACCTTGGACAAGCTACCTAAACTCTCAGATTCCTCATCTTAAAAATAATAATAGCTGTCTTATAGAGTTGATATAAAAATTAAAGGTACTACATGTAAAATACCCGGCACATAAAAGCACTTAATATCTTTCCTACTTGGGAAAAAACTAAAATGTAGGAACAGACTTTCCTGTTAAGAATGTTTGTAGTGGATGCTCTGTTGTGCTGCCCAGATTCTGCTTCAGAGAGGAAGAGTTTATTCTCCAAGCGGCTGGAAGAGCTGCTAATGGAAAGCTCTTTGTTGTCAGCCCCTACAGGGATCGCCTTAGTTGAAGAGAGCCTTTTCACCCAATGTCCACCCCATTAAGAATGACTTGCCTCCAGTGACTGATCAAAGAGCCCATCATCCCAGATCAGAACTTGCCATGGAATTGGCAGAGGCCTCTGTTGAGCCAGCCTGCCAGTTCAGCTTCTCCCTCGGTCCAATCCTGCTTCCTTCCTATGACTTCCCTTCTAGAGGTGTTGATCTCAATGCCCTCCCTAATAAGCCCTCCGATATCCTAGTCACGGTTGGGAGTCAGTTTACCAGGGAACACTATCCAGCAACAATGTTGCAGGATGAACTGTTGCTCAGACTTTTATATAGCCCTTACCATCACCAACCACTCCCCACAAGGGCCCAAAGGCACATAACTCACCCAAGTATCTTTTGGTTGCTCTGGTAAGGATTGAAGAGTAAGGATTCTTAAGCCTTGAACCTTGCTTCTGCTGATGTTTAACAAGCAGCTGGAATAAGTGTGAACCCTCTGCCCCAGCTCCATTTCACCCCTTCTCAACATCTTTCATCTGCCAGCTTGTATAAAGATTCAGCCTGCCACATTAGAAATGTTGCTTATGTCACAATTGAGGAAATTTTAATATGAGCTGTATAGCAAATGATATTAATAATTATTAATATTGTTGTTCTTGAGCTTTATAATACTCCAGATAAAAAAAAAAAATGAAGGCGGATAGGCCGGGCACAGTGGCTCACGCCTGTAATCCCAGCACTTTGGGAGGCCGAGGCAGGCAGATCACGAGGTCAGGAGATCAAGACCATCCTGGTTAACACGGTGAAACCCCGTCTCTACTAAAAATACAAAAAATTAGCTGGGCATGGTGGCGGGTGCCTGTAGTCCCAGCTACTCAGGAGGCTGAGGCAGGAAAATGGCGTGAACCCAGGAGGCGGGGTTTGCAGTGAGCTAAGATTGGCCACTGCACTCCAGCCTGAGCGACGGAGCGAGACTTCGTCTCAAAAAAAAAAAAAAAGGCAGATAAATGAAACAAGATTGGCAAAATGATGAACATTGATGAAGCTGGGTGACTGGTATTATACTATTCTCCCTATCTCTGTATGTTTGAACTTTTCCATAATAAAATAATGAATATTAATATACTTTATAAAAGTATATACAATGTACGTACTTTAGAGATCAATTGTTAAAGATAGGTTTAATAATATATTTAACTTCAAGTTGGCTTATGTTAAGCAAATAAATCAAAATATAGAAAATTCATATTCTCCAAAGCAAATAAAATGGGGCTTGTTAGGCATCTTGCCAAATAGTTCCGAAATTTATTTTTTTTAAGTGCTGAGACTTTCTTTAAAAGAAAACTCCATAAGGCACTTCAAACTAAATTTTTATGTTAAAAGATTTATTTTACATATTAAAGTACAGCATACAGGTATTTTGTTCATTATACAGACTTTTAGATTATGAAGACTTTATATGTAATAGCATATTATCCCAATTTTTAAAAGCTCAATTTTCTAGATGTCTTTTTTGATAACAATGCATGTGATTTACCATAACATGTGTATAAAATCTAGCCAAACCACACCATTCTTCCTCCACAACCCTTAAAGAAGATCCTATAGACTCAACAACTGTGCCACCTAAGGCTATGTAAACTTTGGTCAAACAACTCTGTTGTATACACAAATATAGCTATATCTACAGGTATAGATAGAGAGATATAATATATATTATTTATACATAATGATTAAGAATTAAGAATTAGGTCAAAAATCACAACAAGAAAAAAAAAAGTAGTATCTGATTCAGGTATTCAGTCTGTGTAGAGTGGTACTATTTTTGCCAATCCTCAAATGTTTACTTCAAGTCTGCTATGATGAGAAAACCCAGAAGGCCTAAATATATAACACAAACATGTTTCCCATCTTTGTATCCTTCTATGTTTGAAGATCTTTCCGAATGTTAAGGTCTCATCCATTTAAGGTGATTTGATCCAGAACATTGGGGAATACTATTATTCAGAAAATGATTCTTCTTAAAGGGACTTGATTATTTCAATGATCATAGAGCTGCTCTAAGGGATTTCTATAGCCAAGTCATTATTATATCCAGGTACTTTTCATATAAATAAGGGTTCAAGCATCTGAAACAAAAAAGAAGGAAATGAAGTGTTCTAAGGACAAAGACAAATGGTGTGAGTTAGGAGCTGGTCTAACAGCATATAAAGCCTGAATTTTCCAAAGTATTTTACCTGACTCTCTGGACTACCCCCCAAATAAACAAACAAACAAACCAATAAAATCCAAATATGTATAAAACATATGCATGTTGAGCCTAGTCCTATAGGAAACATGACAGGTTTGAGAAGAATTTGATGCAAAATAAAATGGGATGAGATGTGATAACGATCAGGAAAATTAGGATCTAGTACTAGATGTGCACTAACTAAGCTCTATGACCCTGGGCACTTCACATCTTGGCTCTCAGTTTGTCTCTCTGTAAGATGGAGGTCCCTTACAGCTATTATATTCCAAGATTAAGAATCAAGTATGATACTTTCAATATTAATAAGTAACCATAAAAATTTTAAGCAATTGGATTAATACCATCTTGAATTGAAATAAAACAATAAAAAATTTAAAATTTTTTTCTAAAAGTTGAAAATAAATGTTTTTTATTATATGAGTTTAGGTTTCCAAATATGTTTTTCTCCCATACTACATTTTCCTATAGCTTTGTGAAATAATATGAGATTAATCTTATGCCAGGCAGTCCAGTGGGTGCTCTGCAAACTTGGCTCTAGAGGAACTTGATAATTCAGATATAAGCCATGCAATTTTATATTTCAAATCAAAACTATCTAATGTATAATTAAGTTAAAATTCAACAGTTACAGTCTAGAATAGCCATCAATTCAGTTTTAAACACAGTGTATAAAATTTTAAGTCCTGCATTTTAGGTACTTGTGGGCTATTCAGCAGGGAAACTACTTTAGGCTAGTGAGATAAATATAAAATTTCATGTTGTAATATAATTTTGAGGCAGCATTAAATGGGTAAAATTCAGGTAGTAAGCCTAAAAATCCAAGATAACTATAGAGATAAATAATTATTTTTGTAAATTATAATAATTCCCATATCTGTGATAATAATAGCAACTACAGATTTGTATAAGGCTTTAATTTATACAAATAAATCTGTTTCAATTATTACAAATGTAATACAAGATACATATAATATGTATCGTGTTTACATTCTTACGGTATATTTTGAATGTGTTACATCATTTAAGTAATAACATAATTTAGGCATTATTATCTTTATTCATTATTATCATCTCCATTTTATGGATATGGAAATTGATCAAATAAAACTTTAAAGAGCAAACAGGCTGCCTGAACTGGATGGAGAGATCATGGTGCTAACCACATCAAGGTTAGTTGTTAAGTTTCTCATCCTAGTGGAGTCTCAGTCAGATAATCATAATAGAAATGGAAAATGTATTTAGGCCACAAACAGATTTTCAGCATCTATTGATTTACTAATATAGCTTTTTGTTCCTTAATTTATTGATGCAGTGAATTACTTTGATTGAGTTGCTGCTGTTTAACCACCTTTCTATTCCTGGAGTAGATTCTACTAGGTTATAGATATTATCCACTTATTAAATTGCTGTACTCTCTTATAAAAATATCTAGACATACATTGACATATGAGATGATTGATTTTTTTAAAAAATTGGTATTATCTTAATTGGATTTAGGGATCAGCATTATATTAGCTTCAAAAAATGAATGTTTTATCTTTTTCTATTGCCAGGAATAATTTAGAATTTATAGTGATACTCACACACCATGATCACTTTCTTTTCTCTCTTTATTGTATGTATCTGAAAAATCCTAACCATGGCTAAATCTAATTCCCTGCCTATTCAGAGCAGCTTAACATGGTTGGGGGAAAATTAAGTTTCCTACTCTTTATGATGACTATTTCAGACCTTCTTTCTTCTCCAGCACACAATGCCCCACATCACTCTCAATCAATAATCATTATTATTTCACTGAAAAAATAAAATAGAAAAAAAATCCTCACTCTTCCAGCAGTAAATCAGAAAATCTACTTGTATCAGGATGTATATACTCTCATTTCACTCCTTGGCAATAAATGAACTGTCCATGTTCCTCTAGTGAAGTCAATACGTCCACCTATTCACTGGGTCTAAACTTTGCCTTATCAGGACTTCGCTACTCAAAAAAAAAATTTTTTTTAATTTCTCTTTTTTATCATTTTTTTCACTTGCTACTTGTAAGAGATATTCCAGTCTGCCTTTCAGATTTCTCCTCAAGATAGTCACTAATTTCCCCCAAATGCCAGAAGTGTTGCCTACAGAGGTTTACAGGAATTGCCTTGACCAACATGACACCACACATCCAGTGTTTTGTCAGTGGGTTTATTCAATTCCATGGCCTCAGTTGAGTTTTCTCTTAAGGGTCATCTCAGTTTCAGAGGTACATAAAGAATCCAATGAAATCTCTGTTACAGTTACATCACAGTTCAACTTCTTTTGTTCCACCTTATTCCTTTCACTCCTTTACTGTATTGTTCCCGAGAGCACTTCCCAATAAATCACCTACACGTAAATCTTAGTTGTAGAGTCTTTTTTTTCTGGGAAACCTAAGCTACAAAAGTTGTTGCCAGGGAATTGGATAAAATCTTCAATAGTAAGACATTCAGTAGAGAGGATAAATTAGTCCTACACAACAGGCTGCTATGGAATCATCTTAGCAAAGCTAAAAAGCCATTGTTATACAGATACCAAAATCAGACAGACTTTAATGAAAACAACAGGCCAATATCTTTCATGAATATATACACAAAAATCCTAAACAAATATTAGCAAATAAAGCTCAGCAATATGAAAGGAGGATAATGCATTATGACCAAGTGAGGTTTATCCCTGGGAATGCAAGGTTGAGTTAACATTTGAAATCAATCAATGAAGTTCCTCGTATTAAAAAAAAAAGAAACCCTATAATCATCTTCATAGATGTGGAAAAGGCATTTGACAAAATTTAATATATATTCATGATGAAAAACTCTCAGCATCTGAGGAAAAGGGAAACTTTCTCAACCTGATAAAGGGCATCTATGGAAACCTTACAATTAACAGGACAATGATGAAAAGCTGAATGTTTTCCTCCTAAGATTGAGAAAAAGCAAGAATGCCTACTTTCAAAATTCCATTTACCATCGTGCCAGAGGTTCTAGCCAGTACAGTGAGGCAAACTAAACAGATAAGAAGTATACACATCAGAAAGAAAGCAATAAAATTATCTTTATTGACAGACATTATTATCACCTACATACGAAATACTACAGAACTTTAAAAGCTACTAAAACTAATAAGTGATTATACCAAATTTGCAACATACAAGGTCAATATATATCAGTAAACCATTGGACAGATCCTCCAAAGTCTTAAAGGCAGCCAGAGAGAAGAGGCATGTCAAATGCAAGGGAACTCCATCAGGCTAACAGTGGTCATTTTAGCAGAAACCTTACAAGTCAGAGAGGTTGGGGACCTATAGTCAGCATCCTTAAAGAAAAGCAATTCCAACCAAGAATTTCGTATCCATACAAACTAAACTTCATACGTGAAGGAGAAATATGATCCTTTCCAGACAAGCAAATGATAAGGGAATTCTTACCACCACGCCTGCCTTACAAAATGTCCTTAAGGGAGTGCTAAACATGGACATGAAAAAGCAGTACTGTATTAGTCTGTTTTCACACTGCTAATAAAGACATACCCAAGACTGGGTAATTTATAAAGGAAAGAGGTTTAATTGACTCATGGATCCACATGGCTGGGGAGGCCTCACAATTATGGTGGAAGAACAAGGGATGTCTTATATGGCAGCAGGCAAGAGAAAATAAGAGCCAAGTGAAAGGGGAAACCCCTTATCAAATCATCAGATCTCGTGAGACTTATTCACTACCACGAGAACAGTATGGGGAAAAACACCCCCATGATTCAGTTATCTCCCACTGGGTCCCTCCCACAACACATGGGAATTATGGGAGCTACAGTTCAAGATGAGATTTGGGTGGGGACACCCAAACCATATCAAGTACTTTCCACCAAAAAAATACACTCAAGTACAAGGCCACTGAAACTATAAAGCAACTATATAATAAAGTCTACATAACAACCAGGTAAAAACACAATGACAGGATCAAACACACACACATCAATACTAACCTTGAATGCAAACAGGCTAAATGCCCCAATTCAAAGGCACACAGTGACAAGTTGGGTAAATAAGTAAGACCCAGCTATGTGTTGTTAAGAGACCCATCTCACATGCAATGACACCGATAGGCTCAAAATAAAGGGACGGAGAAATATCTATCAAGCAAACAGAAAACACAAAAGGGCAGAGGTTGCTATTCTTATTTGAGACAAAACAGATTTTAAACCAACAATGATCAAAAGGGACAAAGAATGGCATTACATAATGAGAAAGGGTTCAATTCAACAAGAATACTTAACTGTCCTAGATATATAGGCACCCAACACCAGAGAACCCAGACTTATAAAACAAATTATTACAGACCTACAATGATACTTAGATAACCACACAATAATAGTGGAAGACTTCAACACCCCACTAGATCATTGAGACAAAAAATTAACAAGATATTCAGGACCTCAACTCAACACTTGACCAAATGGACCTAACAGACATCTCTAGAATACTTCACCCAACAACACAAGAATATACATTCTTCTCATCTACACAGCACATACTCTAAGATCAAACACACACTTGGCTGTAAAGCAATTCTCAGCAAATTCAAAGAAACCAAAATCATACCAATCACACTCTTGGACCACAGCACAGTAAAAATAGAAATCAATAACAAGAAGATCTCTCAAGACCACACAATTACATGGAAATTAAACAAGCTGCTTCTGAATGACTTTTGAGTAAAAGACAAAATTAAGGCAGAAATTTAAAAATTCTTTGAAACTAATGAAAACAAAGATACAGCATGCCAGAATCTCTGAGACACAGCTAAAGTAGTTTTAAGAGGACAGGTTTTTCTTTTTTTCAAGTTTTATTTTAGATTTAGTGGATACATGTGTGTGCTTGTTACCTAGGTATATTGGGTGATGCTGAGGTTTGGAGTATAAATGATCCCACCATCCAGGTACTGAGCATAGTACCCAATACTTAGTTTTTCAACTCTCACTCCCCTCACTATCTCTTCCATCTAGTAGACCCTAGTGTCTACTGTTGACATAAGATGAAAGTTTATAGCACTAGAAACCTACATTAAGAAGTTAAAAATGTCTCAAATTAACAACCAAACATTGCACCTAGAGGAACTAAAAAAATAAAAGTAATACATGCAGGAATTTTGTAGAGGGGAGTTTAAAAAAGCAGCAGAAAATAATTACCCTGAATCTCAAGACCTAGAAATACTGATATTGTTTTGATATATTTCCATCCAGTCTTTCTCTGAGTTTTTTTTACCCAGTTAAGATTATACTGTGTACATGCAATTTTCTGTCCTGCTATTTCACTTAACAAATGTCTTAAACATTTCTCCTTGTCATTAAAAACTCTCTGTTCACATCAAATAAATAAATAAATAAATAAATAAATAAATAAATAAATAAAAGCAAACCAACCCCGATGCTAGCAGAAGAAAAAAAATAAACAACATGACAGCTGAACTAAACAAAACTGAGATGTAAAAATCCATACTAAAGATCAACAAGACCAAAACTTTGTTGAAAAAATAAATAAGATCAATAGACTGCTGGATAGATTAATTAAAAAAGAGAGAGAAGATCCAAATAAAAACAATCAGAAATGACAAAAGGGATATTACCACCAGCCCCACATAAATACAAAAAAACCCTCAGAGACAATTATAAACACTTCTATGCACAGAAACTAGAAGAAA
Source organism: Homo sapiens (assembly GCF_000001405.40). Taxonomy (NCBI): domain Eukaryota; kingdom Metazoa; phylum Chordata; class Mammalia; order Primates; family Hominidae; genus Homo; species Homo sapiens. Next base: position 99,577,625 of record NC_000012.12, read on the forward strand.
TGTATAAATTCCTGGAAACATACAACCTCCCAAGACTGAACCAGGAGGAAACTGAAACACTGAACACATCTATAAGGAGTTCCAAAACTGAATCTGTAATAATAAAAATAATAAACCCTACCAACAGAAAAAGCCCTGGACCAGATGGATCCACCGCTGAATTCTACTGCATGTATAAAAAGCTGGAAACCATTACTATTAAAATTATTCAAAAAGAATTAAGGAGGAGGGACTCCTTCCTATCTCATCCTATAAGGCCAGCACCATTTTGAAACCAAAACCTGACAGAGACGCAAGAGAAAACTACAGGCCAATATCTCTGATGAACATAGATGTAAAAGTCCCAAACTAAATATTAGCAAACCAAATCCAGCTGTGATCAAAAAGTTAATTCACCCCAATCAAGTAGGCTTCATTCCTGGGATGCAAGGTTAGTTCAATATGCACAAATCAATAAATGTGATTCACCACAAACAGAAGTAAAAATAAAACCATATGATTTTGTCAATAGACATGGAAAAAGTCTTTGATAAAATCCAACATCCCTTCATGATAAAAACCCTCAACAAATTAGATATCAAATGAACATACCTCAAAACAACAAGAGTCATCTATGACAAACCCACAGCCAACATCATGTCAAATGGGCAAAAGCTGGAAGCATTCCCCATGAGAAATGACTGCACACCCACTAACCACTCCTATTTATAACAGCACTAAAGGTCCTAGCCAGAGCAATCAGGCAAGAGAAAGAAATAAAAGACATCCAAATAAAAGGAGAGGAAGTCAAACTATTTGTCTTTGCAGATTATGATTCTACACTTAGAAAACCCCACAGTCTCTGCCCAAAAGCTCCTAGAATAAACAACTTCAGCAAAGTTTCAGAATACAAAATTTATTACAAAAATGAATAGCATTTCTATACACCAATAATCCAAGCTGAGAGACAAATCAAGAATGCAATCCCAATCACAACAGCCACAAAAAGAATAAAATGCCTAGGAATACAGGTAACCAGGGAGGTGAAAGATCACTACAATTAGAATTACAAACACTGCTGAAAGAAATGAGAGACAACATAAACATATGGAAAAACATTCCATGCTCATGGATAGGAAGAATCAATATCATTAAAATGGCCATGCTGCCCATAGCAATTTACAGATTCAGTGATATTCCTGTGAAACTACCAACATCATTTTTCACAAAATTAGAAAAAAATGATTCTAAGATTTATCTGGAACCAAAAATGAAGTCAAATAGCCAAAACAATCCTAAACAAAAAGAACAATGCCAGTGACATACATTACCTGACTTTAAACTATACTACAAGTCTAGAGTAACCAAAACAGCATGGTACTGGTTCAAAAACATATACACAGACCAACGGAACAGATTAAAAAACCCAGAAATAAAGCTGCACACCTAAAACCAACTGATCTTCAAAAAAGTTGACAATAACAAGCAATGGGGAAAGGACACCCTATTCTATAAATTGTGCTGGAATAGCTGACTACCCATATGCAGAAGATTGAAACTGGATCCCTTCCTTTCACTATATACAAAAGTCAACTCGAGTTGGATTAAACACTTAAATATAAGACTTAAAATGTTTAAAACTTTAGAAGAAAACCTGGGACGTATCATTTTGGACATAGGTCTGGGCAAAGACTTCACGATGAAGTCTCCAAAAGCAATGGAAACAAAAACAATCAAAGATAAGTGGGATCTAATTAAACTAAAGAGCTTCTACACAGCCAAAGACACTATTCAACAGAGTACACAGACAATCTACAGAATGGGAGAAAATATTTGCAAACTATGCATCCATCAAAGGCCTAATAGCTAGAATCTATAAGAAACATAACAAAATCAACAACAAAAACAAATAACCCCATTAAAAAGTGGGTAAAGGACATGAACAGACACTTCCAAAAAGGAGACATACATGTAGCCAACAATCACATGAAAGAATGCTTAGCAACACTAATCATCAGAGAAATGCAAATCAAAACCACACTGAAATACAACCTCATATCAGTCAGAATGACTATTATTAAAAAGGCAAAAAATGACAGATGCTTGCAAAGTTACAGAGAAAAGGGAATGCTCATACTTTATTGGTTGGCATGTAAATTAGTCCACCCATAGCAGAAAGCAGTCTGGAAATTTCTCAAAGAATTTAAGTCAGAACTACCATTCAATCCAGCAATCCTATTACTGGATATATACTGAAAGGAAAATAAATCGTTCCACCAAAAAAAAATGTACACTCATATGTTCATTGCAGCACTATTCACAACAGCAAAGACATGAAATCAACCTAAATGCCCATCAATGGAGGACTGGATAAAGAAAATGTGGTATACACACCATTGAATACTATGCAGCCATAAAAAGGAATGAAATTATGTCCTTTGCATCAACATGGATGCAGCTAGAAACCATTATTCTAAGCAAATTAACATAGGAACAGAAAACCAAATACCACATATTGTCACTTATAAGTGACAGCTAAACACTGAGTACACATAGACACAAAGCAGGGAACAAACACTGGGGCCTACTTGAGGGTAGAGGGTTGGAGGACTGTGAGGGTTGAAAAATTACCTACCAGGTACTATGCTCACTACCTGGGTGACAAAATCATTTGTACACCAAACACCAGCAACACACAATTTACCCATGTAACAAACCTGCACATGCACCCCTGAACCTAAAAGTTGAAAGAGAAAAAAAATTAAAAATTAAAATTAATAAAATCATTTATAATATGTTCAAAAATATGACCTATTAGGGATAAATATAATGACAGAACATTGCTCAAAGAAATTTGAAACTGGAGAACATTATGTTATGTGAAATAAGCCAGGCATAGAAAGACAAATATTGCATGTATTTACTCATATGTTGGAGCTAATAAAAATGATCTCATAGGGGTAGAATGGTGGCTACCAGAGGTTGGGAAGGGTAGCGAAGCGGGGGATGGTGAAGAGAAATTGGTTAATGGGTAAAAAAATATGGTTAGACCTAAGGAATAAGTTCTATTGTTCAATAGCACAGTAGGATCACTATAGTTAATGATAATTTATTGTATATTTCAAAATAGCTAGAAGATTTAAAATGTTCCCAATACATAGAAATGATCAATATTTGAGGTAATGAATATCCCAGTTAACTGGATTTGATAATTACCTGGTGTTTGCATGTACCAATGTGCCACATGTACCCCACAAATATGTACAATCATTATGTGCCAATTTAAATAAAAATCAAGTCCTAAATTAAGGTAGCTATGCATGATGTTCATGGATAGAAAATTCATTATTTATAAGATGCCAATTCTTTCCAAATTGACCTATATATTCAGTGCAATCACAGTAAATACCCCAGGATTTCTATAATTTCTATATATTATAGAAATTGATGGGCTGATTCTAAGATAAATAAGGAAACGCAAAGTACCTAGAACAACCAGAACAATTTGACAAAGAACAATATTGGGAAATTAACACTATTTGATTTCAAGACTTAATACAAAAGTAGAGTGATCAAAACTGCATGGGTTTTGACATAAGAATAGGCACAGAGATCAGTGGAATAAAATAAGAGTGTCCAGAAATAAACTCACCAGATGTGACCATTTGATTTTCTACAGTGACACCAAGGTAATTAAATAGGAAAATAATGAAATTTTCAACAAATGGCACAGAAAC